>NC_000012.12:107611643-107763158 GCF_000001405.40 Homo sapiens | reverse complement strand
TCTAAAATGGCTGTGGCATTTTTTTTGCATTCCCACCAACAAAATGTGAGGGTGCCAGTTGCTCCATATCTGTGCCAACACTTGTTATAGTTGGTCTTTTTAATTGAAGCCATTCTAGTAAGTGTGTAATATCACTTCATTGTGCTTTGATTTGCATTTCTTTGATACCTAATGATGCTGCACATCTTTTTGTGTGCTTAATCGCCATCCATATAGCTTCTTTGGTGAAATGGCTGTTGAAATTTTTGCCTAAGTTTTTAAATTTAATTGTCTTCTTATTATTGTGTTTAAAGGGTTCTTTATATAGTCAAGATACAAATCCTTTGTCAGATATTTGTTTTGAAAATATTTTCTCCCAGTCTCTCACTTGACTCATTTTGTTGACAGTATCTTTTCAAGATCAACCATTTTAATTTTGATGAAGTTCGATTTGTCATTTTTTTTTTTGAGATAGGGTCTCTCTCTGTCACCTGAGCTGGAGTGCAGTGGCACAATCTTAGCTCATTGCAACCTCATACTCCTGGGCACAAGCTATCCTCCTGTCTCAGCCTCCCAAGTAGCTGGGGCTACACGTGCATACCACCATGCCCAGCTAATTTTTTTTATTTTTTGTAGAGACAGGGTCTCACTTTGTTGCCCAGGATGGTCTCAAACTCCTGGGCTCAAGCGATCCTCCTACCTCAGCTTCCCAAAGTGCTGAGGAGAGAGCCACTGCACTTGCTCCAATTTTTTAATAGTTTGTGATTTTTTTGTCCTATCAAGGTCACAAAGATTTTTGCCTTTATTTTCCTCTGTAAGTATTATGGTTTTAGCTCTTACATTTATGTGACCTGATTTTTATGTTCACCTCTCAACTTAATAAAATTGTTCCAAAAGAACAGACATCCAAACCCAAACCTAGTGAAAGCATTCGGCCGGTAATAAGATACATCATCATTCTCTAGGCTCCAGATTTGAAGTGGCATTTCAGGGAATACTGTCTCTCAGTTGAGATGATGACCTTCTTGATTTAGATTTCTATTTGTTGTCAACAGAGAGCAAAACCAATGTGACCTGCCTGCCAATGTTCAGTGAAGTTTCCTCATCTGGAATGTGCTTTCCCCCCATGAGAAGTAAACGAAGGGAAACATTATGGGGGTTGACACCCCTCCCAGCTCTCGTCCAAAAGGTTGCATGTGCCTCTACCCTTTCACATTAGACTGAATTTTCAAAATTCATCAGTTCCCACTAGACTGCAGGCAGGTGAAGGTCAGGGCTTGTGCCTTGCTCTGTATCCCTAGGTTTGAGATGTAATTCAACAGACGCTTTGTGAATGACAGGAAGAATTCCTGGGTCTGCTGTTCTGCTGGTGTAAGGGAGCCACCAGGCAGTGTGGTGTAATTTCAACGTCTACTGCTCAGGAGCTTGGGACCACCTTCCTTTAAAGCCATCTCGGTACTCCTAGCGTTAGGCACAGTGCCTGGCGCGCAGTAGAGAACTGAGGGCAGAGAAAAGGGGAAGGAAATTTTGTTTAAAATCCCAAACCCCAGCATTTACGACGGGAAGCAGGGAAACTGGGCAGCCTTCAGGTGTAGCAGACGGCCGAAAATATTCAGGATAGAATCCCAATTCCTCCTGGGCAGCAGAGGCAACCCTCGGGGCCAAATCCCATACTTCGAATTTTGGGGGCTTTGTGTGGACCCATGCTTCTCTAGTAGGGGAATGTCATGAAGACGAAATCCTGAGTCTGCGGGATTTAGGGGATTCAAAACTCAATCCCTGCAGGAACAGCAGCCCTGGTCGCCTAGCAACCATGGGCCGATCGCTCGGCGCTCGATTCTACCCGGCCGGATGGAGACGCGGAACTCCCGGCCGAGCCTCTCGCGGCCAGTGCCTCTGCCGTGCGCACGCGCGGAGGGGCCTGGGCTGGGAGAAGGGCGACGCGGTGCGCGGGCGCCGCTTGCGGGCCGCGGCGGGGAGGGCGCACGCACGAGGGGCGGAGCGGCGGGCGCTGAGAGTGGCTGAGGATCCGGAAACGCGCCGCAGAGGGTGCGGCCCAGAGGAGGCCGCGGGCCGGGAAGGGCCGGGCGGGACGGGAAACGTTAGGGCAGCGGCCCCCGGGGTGAGGGGGCCGAGCGGACGGGCAGGGCCCCGAGGCGAACTCTGCCCGGATGAGGAACAAAGCAGTGGGGCAGGCGCGTGCGCCCCCAGCGCAGCTGGCAGGTGGGCTGCGCGCGGGCCCGGCCGGAGCGGGGCGGGGCGCGGCGGCCCGGCCTGCGGGCCGCGGGCGGGCTAATCCACAGCCCTTGGGTGGCGGTGTCGGCAGCGCCTGGGGCTTTCGGGTAGCTGGGATGGGGGCTGCGACCTTGTTGTGGTTTTGGTGACCGCTCTTGTCCCCACTCCCCCAGGTTGGGCAGCCCCCTTCCCGAAGCTTCTGGACGGAAGGCCCCAGGTGTTCCCCGAGATGCCCCAACCCGTGGCGGGGTGCACGGCCACCGGCCCTCGGGAGAAGTTGGGCGGCCCCGGGCGACCCCGGGGACGAGTGGCCGCGTCGGTGCAGCGGTTGTGAGCAAGATGTGGTAGCACGTGACCCTGGAACGCAAACCCTGATGCCTGTTCCCCACCACCCGAGCGCTCCTTTCTCTGATATTTGGCCCCAAGCCGATGCATCACAGGTGAGTAGGGAGGTGGGCTTCAGCACTGGTGACATCGTTGGAAACTCTGGCGAGTGAGTGTCCAGGGTCAGTGCCGTTGTTTTTGGTGCCATTGAGAAGGTTACAGGTGTGATTTGCAAAGGAAACAAATCCAGAAACTAGTGTTGGGTGGAATGTAATCTCATGCATCCTAATTTACTCCACATGTGGAAAGTTGTTCCCAGTAGCCACACGTTTATTGTTGGCTTGTTGACACCTTTTCCTGTGTCTTTCAGTTATTTGAGCGTTTAATATATTTTTCCGGATTCCAACGTGTATTGTTATCTTATTATGCTTCACCTTGAGTTTTGCTGGTATGGCAGGGACGATAGTGAGGGAATTAAGTTCTTAATTCTGCAAGCTTCATGCTGATGTTTAAGTACAGAAGCAGGCCACAGAAATTGTTGCATTTGGCTGTTTTTTCAAGGCCCTTTCAAAGGCCGTATGTTTAGAATAAGGAAGATAAGGCACAAATTCATTGAAATTATTGAAGCCCCACTGCATTTTTCAAAGTGGCTGCATTTCAGTTAGTTTATTATATTTTATGCGAAGAAAAAGGTGTAAAATCAGCAACTGGCAGATGGTTGCATAGGTCAGTTAGAAACACACACATAAACTGTAGAACTGTGTAGGAAATTATTTTACCCTAAATGAGTAGGGAAGATAGAGCTTAGTATCTTGATTCTTGCCTTCTTCCGGGATTGCTTCTTAGAATCTCATAGGAGAAAGAAAATGAGAATAGAACTGCATTTTAGAATGAGAAAGTCTTATGAGGATCATATTGTACATTCCCTTCATCTGCCTTCTCTCTGTGGGATACTCATTACCTTTGGTTTATGGCTGCTGAGGTCATCACGTTTTAGTGACTCACAACAAAGCAGAAATCTGCTGAGCCTCTCGCATTAAACTCTGGTTTGAACTGGTTTGAGAAGGCCTAGGAGTCAACCTAGAAACACCATGCTGATTTTTATCTTGAAATTAAATAAATATTCAGGAATTTTCAGAATGAGAGTTGAAGGTGCAGACTTGTAGTTGTACTTTTAAAAAAATATTGTAACCAATTTGTTAAGTAGGCTGTTACAGCTGTAGTGATTGTAGTGTTTTAATTATGGTTGTAGCTATAAAGAGTTAGGGAAAAGTCTGTTTTAAACCAACTCAAGCCCAGCAACTTTCAAAATTAAGGTAGATATGTTTTCTTTAGGCTACAGGGATTTTTTGCTTTTTTTGTTTTTAAGACACAGTCTCACTCTGTCACCCCAGCTGGCGTGTAGAGGTACAGGCAGAGCTCACTGTAGCCCCGACCTCCCCACTTCAGCCTCCCCTGTAGTTGGAACCACAAGCACGAACCACCATGCCTGGCTAAGTTAAAAAAAATGTTTAGTAGAGACAGGGGTCTCACTGTGTTGCCTAGGGACGTCTCCAAGTCCTGGGCTCAAGCGATCCTTCTGCCTTGGCCTCCCAAAGTGTGGGATTACAGGTGTAAATCACCACACCTGGGCTGCTTTATTTTATAGCATAATAAAAACTGTTATTAGCATGCTGTTCTTCATAAGGTGTACCTCATTTGCCAGGTGCTTCTAGCTGTCTTTCTGGTAAGGGTGATGAGTTTGCATAGCTCCATCCGATAAAATAAGAAAATTCAGAATGTCTGTTCTATACAAGGTACTAGGTTGGCCTTTTACATTTTATTGATGTCTTAGAGCTTAGTTTTATGGGATCCATGGCCAGGGATAAGGGTGAAACCTAATAATGCAAGAAACAGGTCTATGTGGAACTTTAAATATACGCCACAATATAAGTAGATAGGCCCTAATGTATTGCAACTGTGTAAAAGGCAATATAGTTCTTTTATTGTAATTGTCTTTTTCTTACTATAGTTAAGAGCTTTGGTTTCTTAAATTAGTTCTGAATTTAAATCCCAGCTCTCCTTACTGGTTATGTGATTCTGGGTTAAGTTTCCTAGCATCATTGAATCTTAAGTTTCCTCATCTTTAAAGTGGGATTAAGAATAATACCTACCTCCAGCCTGGGCAACATAGGGAGACCCCATCTCTGCAAAATAAAAACAAATTAGCCAGGCATGGTGGCACTTGCCTGTGGTCCCAGCTGCTTGGGGGCTGAGGTGGGAAGATCTCATGAGCCTAGGAGGTAGAGGCAGCAGTCAGCTGTGATCACGCCACTGCACTCCAGCTTGCAGCTACTGAGCAAGACCCTGTCTCAAAAACAAAAAAAAAAAAAAAAAAAAAAAGAAGATTAAGAGAGATAGTTACATATAAATCACTTAGCCCAATACATAGCACATGGTAAGGGAGCCATAAATTTTAGCTATTATTATTTTCAGGTTGATTGATAAAATGGCATTGCCATTTTTCAGAATTAAAAACCTATTTAGATTTGATTTCACTGCTAAGGAATATGTAACCTCATTTGATTCCTCTTCTCTGCTTCACCCCCTCCCATACGCAGAGAATAAAGCCCAGTGTAAGGACTGGAGGTCATTAGAGAGCCCCTTTTGGGTAACCTGTTGGCTAGCCTAGTGGTTCTGTAATGTTTATAGTATGGCAGTCTCTAAATTATGATATAAGAACTAATACTTTTTGATAACAACCTTCAGTGCTGTTTTATTCAAATCAGTATTACTCTTATTCGAAAGACATTTGTAATGGCAGTGCAAGATGGTTTGCATAGAAAAGGTGATTCCTAGGTTCTTCACCTTGCCAAAAATAGTCTGTAGTTAAAAAAAAAGTTTGGTGCAGTTAAAAAAAAGTTTGGTGCAATGAAAAACTTTTTGGCAGTGTTTTGCAGTTTGATCTGTGATCTTTCACTTAATAGCTATGTGATTTGGGGCATATGACATGGCCTCTCTGAGCCATAGTTCCCTCATCTATCTTACGTTGCAGTATTGGTGTGAGGATTTGAAGTCATTTTAAGTGAAGTGGTAGCAAAGCTTACATAATGACCCTCAATATTTGGAGGACATTAATATACTGATACAGAATCTTAGTAAACTGTTGCTGAATGGGGAAAATACGATGCTTTTCACATCATCGATAATCTGGATCTTTAACTCCTATTAAAAATGATTAGTAAAATTTACTTGAGTAGGTTAAAATGCGCTGCCTAAAACACTACTGGTTTGAAATAATAAGCCATTTGGAGAAAAATAAATATTATAAAAGATGAAGCTTGAGTGATTTAAAAAAAAACTGTCATTGCCATTGTGCTCTAAGAATTGCAGACTTTGCTTTAGATGGTGTGCCTAGAGTTTCGAACAAGGCAGAATTCAAATCCTATTTCTGCTATGTGACATTGAATTGAGTTTTTAATGTCTCAATCTCAGTTTTCTTATCAGTAGAAAGAATATGGCACTAGCTATCTAAGAGAATTGTTGAGCGTAAAAGTGAACTAATAGTTGGCCAAGTCCCATTTCCCCATCCCCACTGTTTCAGTTTCTTCAGTATCTTAATACAGAGTCATTGGAGTAAATTTTTGCATAACTAGTTGTGTGTGCTCTTTTCTAGGATGAATGAAATGAACCTGAGTCCAGTGGGGATGGAGCAGCTGACTTCATCCTCTGTGAGCAATGCCTTGCCAGTCTCAGGAAGTCACCTGGGATTGGCTGCCTCACCCACTCACAGTGCCATCCCTGCCCCAGGTGAGTGGTAAGGGAGACCTACTGCATTTCAACACTTAACTCTGTTATCAATTCTAAATGGAGTCTAGAAGAGATCAGAGCCCCTTTAAGGGTAGAAGGTAGAAGGGAGAAGGTAAGCAGGCCTGAATGGTGGTTCAACATGTGATAGGTAATGGAAAATAAGGTTTTTGTAGAGGTAGAGTATTAGAATTCTAGTGGATAGTAGCAGCAATTTTTTCTGATAGTCCTCTTCTGAGTTGGTAGCTTTTTGTCCAGAGCTGTAATTAACTTGGCATTTTATTTAGGGCTGCCCATTCATCTGGTTCACACTTCAGTACCCGTTCCCTGGGTTAATAGAAGAGAATCAGTTAAAATTACTCTAATAACTATTCCCAGAGAGCATGGGGAATTGGGCTTTATATTCCACCAGGTTTGAAATTAAATGGCAATAACTGCAAGTGTACCAGGTCTAGAATTAATGTGGAAAGAAGTGTGGTACTTTTACCTGGGGCTTTTACATGGAACGCCTCATGAGCCTCCATACACAGCAAAATCGTATAGGAAAAATTCATTCTTCCTATCCTTTTTTTTTTGAAATGGAGTCTCACTCTGTCATCCAGGCTGGAGTGCAGGGGCACGATCTCGGCTCACTGCAACCTCCGCCTCCCGGGTTCAAGTGATTCTCCTGCTTCAGCCTCCTGAGTAGCTAGGATTATAGGCATGCACCCCTACACCTGGCTCATTTTCTTTTTTTTCTTTTTTGAGATGGAGTTTCGCTCTTGTCGACCAAGGTGGAGTGCAATGGCACGATCTCGGCTCACTGCAACCTCCGCCCGCCTCCCGGGTTCAAGCAATTCTCCTGCCTCAGCATCCCGAGTAGCTGAGACTACAGGCACACGCCACCATGCTCAACTAATTTTTTGTATTTTTAGTAGAAACGGGGTTTCACCATATTAGCCAGGCTGGTCTCGAACTCCTGCCCTCAGGTGATCCGCCCTCCTCGGCCTCCCAGAGTGCTGGGATTTTAGGTGTGAGCCACCGCGCCAGCCGTCACTGTACTTTTAAAACCTTTTTTCTGCCTAGCTTCATTTTCTTATTCTATTGAAATAGAATATAAATGGAATAAATATTCTATTGATTATTACAATGATAAGCTGTCAGTTCTTTAGGATCAATGACATTGTTATGTATTGGACTTTCTTTGTCACAGTAGGAGTTAGTATAAATAAATCTATATATTGTTTAAATAGTTCTCTAAAGAGAATTACTTGCTTAATTAATAAAATGCAGCAGTTAAATAAGATTCATTGAAACTAGGGTCTCTTCACATTTGTTTAAGTGTCCACAAAAGAAATCTTAAAAAATTATTAGTGGTTAACCCACTTGATTGTTTGTAGGCATTCCCTTTAGTGGACACTCTTGTTAAGGTGGAAAAGCCTGTTAAAAAATATTGCCAGCCAGGCACAGTGGCTCACGCCTATAATCCCAGCATTTTGAGAGGCCAAGGCAGGAGGATCACTTGAGCCCAGGAGTTCAAGATCAGCCTAGGTAACATAAGGAGACCCCATCTCTACAAAGAAAAAAAAAAAAATTAGCAGCGCATGGTGGCACACACCCGTAGTCCCAGCTACGTAGGAGCTACATAGGAGGCTGAGAAGGGATGGCCACTTGAGCCAGGAAAGCTCAGGTTGCCTGAGCCATGGTCATGCTACTACGCTCCAACCTGGGCAACATAGCAAAACCTTGTCTCAAAAAAAAAAAATATTGCCCCTGGCAAAAATATGCAAATCAGCACTGACCAAGTTGGTGGGTATTTATTATGATACTTAGCCCAGTAAAAGTCACTTCACTTTGCAAGTACATATAACTCAAAGTAGATATAATCTCACGTTTAAAGCTTTTATTAATCACTAAGTGTAGCATATATACAAAAGATTGTATGAAGGTGTACATGTACAGTTTTACATCTAACTAAACTACGTTGTTTTCCAGGTAGAAATGAAATATTCTCACCATATAAAATGGTAAATACAATAAAGTTTAAAAATACCAAAAAAATTTCATACTATCACTACCTAGGGACTACTCCTATGAACATTTTATGTTTCCATTGTTTTTTTCTCTATATAATTTGTTTTCTTGTATTTAAACTCGGTTTTTAATTCTAAATTAAATATTTTGGCTGGGCATGGTGGCAATCCCCGCACTTTGGGAGGCTGAGGTGGGCAGATCACTTGAGGCCAGGAGTTCGAGACCAGCCTGGCCAACATGGTGAAACCCTGTCTCTAGCAAAAATACAAAAATTAGCTGGGTGTGGTGGTGTGTGCCTGTAATCCCAGCTACTCAGGAGGCTGAGGTAGGAGAATTGCTTGAACCCAGGAGGCCGAGATTGCAGTGAGCTGAGATCACACCACTGCACTCCAGCCTGGGCAACAAAGCAAGACTCCGTCTCAAATCAATCGATAAATTAATTAATTAAATATTTTTGTATTTAAGCGCAATACAGACAATTGGAGTATCAACTTGCCGGTTTAGAACTAACTTAAAAACTATCTTTGGGACTAAGACTACTTTCTTTAGGCTTATTTGTGGATATTTGCACATTATCTAAGGATGAAAAGGGCTAGTAGGTGAGATTTTTGCCCATGTGTAAAAACCTTTCTAAGAGTTTAGCCAGTGGTTGTAGTGAGAATTTTTAATTACCTATTTTCTTTTAACTGAGAAAAAAAATTTTGTTTTGTAGGCCTCCCAGTGGCAATTCCAAACCTGGGTCCCTCCCTGAGCTCTCTGCCTTCTGCTCTGTCTTTAATGCTACCAATGGGTATTGGGGATCGAGGGGTGATGTGTGGGTTACCTGAAAGAAACTACACCCTACCTCCACCACCTTACCCTCACCTGGAGAGCAGTTATTTCAGAACCATTCTACCTGGTAAGTGTTACAGTTACTTGAGATGTTAGAGAAAAAGAACGGCGCCAGCTTTTAAACTTTTATCCTGAAGATATGAATAACACTTTTTTCTGTTTGTCACTATTAGATATTAATCTCTAGGCAGGAAAAGTATCTTTGTTTATATTTATGTACTTTTCCTCTTAGAATGTGGCACATAACACATTAGTAATACAGTTTGACTAAGCTGAATTTCTTAATTGCACATAATTTTTCTTCTTTCTCCTCCAGTATCTCTTTCATTTGGTGTTTATAATTCTACAGCTATAATTTCAGTCAAGCACTATAGTGTCTTGTTATAGTGTCATGTTTTTTAAGTTCATTGAATTTTTATTCTGTTATAGGAGTATTATATGCTTATTGCGGAAAATTTAGCAAATAAGGGAAGGAACCACTCAGTCCCATCATCCATCTTTTTGGTGTACTTCCTTCCTGCCATTTGTTTTGGTGTATAGGTTTTTACCAATTTTCATAATTAAGACCACGGTTTCTTCTCTTGCTCTCTTTTTTCTTTTCTTTTTTTTTTTTTTCTTTTAATGGAGACGGAGTCTCAACTATTTTGCCCAGGCTGGACTGGAACTCCTGGACTCCAGTGATTCTCTCACCTCAGACTCTTGAGTAGCTTGGAATACAGGCACATGCCTGCCTTGAGACCATACCATATTTCATTTCTTTTTTATAAATAACTTTTTTAAAAAAAGAGATGGGGTTTTGGCATGTTGCCGAGGCTGGTCTCGAACTCCTGCGCTGAAGCCATCCGCCCACGTCAGCATCCCAAAGTGCCGGGATTACAGGCATGAGCCACTGTGCCCTGCCCAAGACCATACTTTCTATACGATTGTCTGTCTTTACTTTTTTCACTTTATCTTTTTCTCTGCTGTTACATGGGTATTTTCCTTTGCTGCTACGTGGTTTTCATAATTATCCTTTTTAATGATGCATTACTTTCTACTGAATGGGTATTTGATGGTTTATTATCTTTATTGTTGGACAGTTTGGTTTTTCCAGTTTTTATTACCATTGTAACTAATGCTCTTATGAACGTCTTTATGTATAATATTTACAAAATGGATTTAGAGAAGAGTACCTTAAGTGGAATTTCTTGTGCAAGAGGGTATTAACATTTTTGAGGCTCCTAATATATATGCTTCACAAAGAAGTTTTAGCAGTTTACATTCCCTCTGGCAGTTTAGTAAGTATCATTTCACCATATCCTCCCAAGCACAAGTGTTAATTTTTTTTTGTTTTAATAAAACAGGTACAATTGTGACTTGTATTAAATAGTTTGTGTTATGATAGTTTAATTATATTAAATTATATTTAATTAAGTTTTATTTTTCACATGGAAGATCTGTTTTTAAATCATTTTACCTTTTAATAATTAGGAGAGCAAATTTTACACCTTAGGACTCAGGAATTGCAACCATATGTATATTAAAAGCAGTGTTTTCGTTAGTGATTCCCAGTTAGCTTCAAAGGAACATAGTTAACTTTTTTAGGATTTTCGAGTTTTACAGGAAAAACTCAATTACGGTATATGTATGTTGCTATTTATAAAATAGTGTGTATCGATTAAATTAAAGAAGCAGGAGATTATTTGAACTTAGTTATGTTTGTAAGGAAATAGCGTCTAGTGCTTGGAATTCTTTAATAATGTACTAAAAGTCTCTGATATCTCATCTTTTCCTTTTCTCAGGCATTTTATCTTATTTAGCTGACAGACCACCTCCACAGTACATCCACCCTAACTCTATAAATGTTGATGGTAATACAGCATTATCTATCACCAATAACCCTTCAGCACTAGATCCCTATCAGTCCAATGGAAATGTTGGATTAGAACCAGGCATTGTTTCAATAGACTCTCGCTCTGTGAACACACATGGTGCCCAAAGTCTTCATCCCAGTGATGGCCATGAGGTGGCCTTGGACACAGCAATCACTATGGAGAACGTTTCTAGGGTTACCAGCCCAATTTCGACAGATGGAATGGCAGAGGAGCTTACGATGGACGGTGTTGCAGGCGAGCATTCCCAAATCCCAAATGGCTCCAGAAGTCATGAACCTCTGTCTGTGGATTCTGTGAGCAACAACCTTGCAGCAGACGCTGTAGGACATGGTGGTGTGATACCCATGCATGGGAATGGCCTGGAGCTCCCTGTGGTCATGGAGACAGACCACATTGCAAGTCGGGTCAATGGCATGTCTGACAGTGCCCTCAGTGACTCCATTCACACTGTGGCCATGAGCACCAACTCTGTAAGCGTGGCACTCTCTACCTCACACAACCTTGCCTCCCTAGAATCTGTTTCCCTCCATGAAGTTGGCCTCAGCCTAGAACCTGTGGCTGTCTCCTCCATCACCCAGGAGGTTGCTATGGGGACAGGTCATGTAGATGTATCTTCAGACAGTCTTTCTTTTGTATCACCTTCACTGCAAATGGAAGACTCCAATTCAAACAAGGAGAACATGGCAACCTTGTTTACAATTTGTGAGTGTGTTTAGCCTTTCTTTTTTGGAAATATTTGTAAAAAGGGCCACCATCCCTAACAAGTTAAGTCGTAAAGTTTGGCATTAAGGGAGTATAGAAAGCAACTAGACCTTGGAACTTTTCTTTGCCTTGGTATTGTCCTTTATATTAATGTGGTGCCTTTTCTTCAAGTAAGCCAAATGATATACATACATTTAGTTGGTTCTTAGAGCATCCTCCTGAAGAAATGAAATGTGAAGTAGTCATTTTTGTATTTTGCAGATAAGCTTAGCACATGCGGTAGTGTGTGCCTGTAGTCCCAGCTATTCTGGAGGCAGAGGCAGGAGGTTGCTTGAGCCCAGGAGTTTCAGGCTATAGTGTTCTGTGATCCCACCTGTGAATAGTCCCAGCTATTCTGGAGGCTGAGGAAGAGGGTTGCTTGAGCCCGGGAGTTTCAGGCTATAGTATGCTGCGATCACACCTGTGAATAGTACTGCACTCCGGCCTGGGCAACAAAGTGAGACCCTGTCTCTAAAAAACAATCATAGTGATAATACAATATTTTTTTAAAAAAGGTAAGTTTAGCCCAGTAATAGTTAAGGTATTTCCCAAGGTTTCACAAATAGAGAGTTATAGGGGTAAATTCTAGTAAAGCTGTTTGTGACATGCCTTGTGAAAATTATTCAGTCACTTTTATAACCCCATGGAAAAATGTAGGTGGATATAAACCAATTTTTTTCTTTGCTCAGAGTGCATATAAATTATTATTCTTGGGCGTGTAAAAGTTTTTCTTATTGGGCAACAACAACAAAAAACAATATAAAAACAGTTGATTTACTGGTGTCACTGTGTTTCATTCATGCAGGAAACATGTTGAGTGCTTATTTTAATTTATTGATAGGGTTTCTCTGTCGCCCAGGCTAGGGTGCAGTGGTGCGATCACGGCTCACTGTAGCCTCGACCTCCTGGGCTCAAGTGATCCTCCCACTTTAGCCTCCCGAGCAACTGGGACCCCAAGTGTGTACCACCACACCTGGCTAATTTTTAAATTTTTTGTAGAGATGGGGGTCTCACTGTGTTGCCTTGGCTGGTCTTGAACTCGACTCAAGCAATCTTCCTGCTTCAGCCTCCCAGAGTGCTAGGATTACAGGTGTGAGCCATCATGCTGGGCTTTTTAGTGCTTACTATGTGGCAGCCTCTGCTAGATGCTAGGGATAGAACGATCTACCAAGAGACAGTATGTGTACATACCTTTAAGGAGCTTACAGTCTGGTAGGAAGCATAGGAGACTGTTACAATATAGGATAATAATAAGTGTGACGATGGGGTGAAGTGCATTGGTACTAAAGTAGCCTGAAGGGGAGCAACTAGCCAGGCCATGGAAGGGTCGGGGAAGATTTAACCAAGGGAAGTAACATACATGTTAGCACAGACCTTAAGGACAAGAAAGATGTGGGCAGTTGAGAGTCAGGAAGACAGGAGCTGGCACCTGTAAGTGCCTAGAACCAAAAGAATCATGAGTGTTTCAGAATTGCTGAAGCATAAAATGAGGGTGAAGAGAGGGGTCATGTGGTGAGAGGAGAAGTAGGAGCCAGAACACAAAGGCTCTTTTAAGACCGGTCAAGAGTTTTAGGGAGTGAGGGTTGGGGTAGGGCTTTGCTGCAATGTGAGAATAAATTTGTTAAGAGGCAAGGAGGTGTGGAAGATATCATAATTTATGGGAAAGGTGATGATTCTCACCAATCTAGAGTAGAGGTAATTAGGATGCAGAAGAGTGGAGGACATTTGCAGAGAACCCAGTTGAGCTTATCGATTGGATAAAGTTGGAGGAGGGAAGCATTAAGGAGAAAACCCTGGTTTCTGGCTTCTGAAACTAGGTAGATAGAAACTAGGTAAGTAGAGAAGGCCATGTGTTGGCTCACACCTGTAATCCCAGCACTTTGGGAGGCTGAGGCAGAAAGATCATTTGAGACCAGGAGTTCAAGATCAGCCTGGGCAGCATAGTGAAACCCTGTCTCAGGAAAAAAAAAAAAAAAAAAGCAAACAGAAACTAAGTAGGTAGGGTAGTAGTGAAAGGCAGAGGAGGATATGATTTTGATTTTTATTATTTTGGGAGGAGTGACGATGAGTCAAGTTTTAGACATGTTGATTTCAGTGTCTGTAAGACACCCAGTAGAGATGTCTAATGAAAAGTTGTGTGTGGACCTGAGAGAGATCTGTCTGGAAATATTTAAGAATCATCAACATTAAGATGTTATTTGTGGCTGTAGAAGTGGAATGAAATCATCTAGTAAGAGTGTGGACTGAGAAGAGGGCTAGGGATATCAAGATATAGCAGAAGAGGAGCTTCCAAATAGACTCAACGGGAGCATCAAAAATAGGAGGAAGCCCAGAACCATTCTGTGCCACAAAATCCAGCCCATGGAGAGACTAGTTTTAACCTTTTAAAGTCTCAAATTTAGAGTTTTAAAATGTTTTAATCGAAGAATGTAATGAATATAAGGCTAATTTAGCAGAAGGTAGGAGGTGGCCTAAATAAGCTTATTGATTTTTTTCTTAAGAGGGCAAATGGAACCTCTTCTAAGTGTGTGTGGTTTATAATGAGATATAATTTATGTATACATTTTAAACGTGCAATTTAGTGGTTTTTTTGGTGTATTTACAAGGCTGTGCAACCACCACCACTGTCTCCTTCCAAAACATTTTAGTCACCCGGTAAAGAAACTTCATAACCATTAGTCACTTCCCATTCCCTCCTTCCGCGTATTCTCAGCAACCACTAATCTACTTTCTGTCTCTATGGATTTGCCTTTTCCAGATATTTCATATAAATGGAATCATGCGATACTTGGCCTTCTGGATCTAGTTTCTTTCTCTTCGCATAATACTGTTCTGTCTCATCCATGTTGTAGCATGTATTTGTACTTCATTTCTTTTTAGAGCTGAATAATCTGTAATATGGATATACCACATTTTGTTTATCCATTTATCAGTTGATGGACATTTGGGTTGTTTCTGCTTTTTGGCTACTATGAATAATGCTGTTATGAACTCTCATGTACAAGTTTTTGTGTGAACATCTGTTCTTGGATATTTAGGAGTAGAATTGCCGTATGTTTAACTTTTTGAGGAACTGCTTTCCAAAGTGGCTGTGCCATGTTACCGTCCTAGCAGCAGTGGATGAGGGTTCTAATTTCTCCACATTTTTGCCAACAGTTAATTTT
Source organism: Homo sapiens (assembly GCF_000001405.40). NCBI lineage: Eukaryota > Metazoa > Chordata > Mammalia > Primates > Hominidae > Homo > Homo sapiens. The sequence continues at coordinate 107,748,211 of NC_000012.12, read as the reverse complement.
TTATTTTTATTTATTTATTTTTTTATTTTTTTGAGACAGAGTCTGGCTCTGTCACCCAGGCTGGTGTGCAGTAGCGCAATCTCAGCCTCACTGCAACCTCCACCTCCCGGGTTCAAGCCATCCTTCCACCTCAGCCTCCCCAGTAGCTGGGACTACAAGTGCTCGCCACCATGCCTGGCTGATTTTTTGTATTTTTGGTAGAGACGATTTGCCGTGTTTCTACCTGGTCTCATGCGTTCGAGACCAGCCTAGGCAACATGGCAAAACCCTGTCTCTAGCAAAAGTATTAAAAAATCAGCCAGACGTGGTGGTGCATGCCTGTGGTCCCAGCTACCCAGCAGGCTGAAGCAGGAACGCCACTGCACTCCAGCCTTGGTGACAGATCGGGACCCCGTCTTAAAAAAAAAAAGAAAAGACAGATAGATGACTGTGGTTCTAAGGTTTATGTATTCCAACTATTTTGTGAATGGTTGTGGAGTTTAAATGTAATGATTGAGTAATAGTATCATAAATACTGTTCCTTAGCAGAGTGGAAAGTGTAAAGAATAGAGCAGAAGATTTACGGAGGAGGACACTCATAAGCTTGTGAAAGTGAAGTTGTAGTAAGAATAGAGAACAATATATAAAGGGAGCATCCTCTCTGCCAATGCAGAAAGAAAGACCATATGAAAAATAAGAAATTAAGAATTTTAAGCAAATAATGTCTGCAAGAATACAATTCTTCTGCCCTTTGAAAGAGCAGGCTGCAAATTGTTTTTGTCTTAAGAATGTGTCCTCAAAACTTGGTTGACCATCTTGTTTATAGTGAAGCAAAAGAGTACAGTGGTGTAGCTGGCTCTGACGCCAGTGTCCTATGTTCATAGCATAGGTCACTGGGGTCAGAGCCAGCTGTACCACCGTGGCCATATTTTGGCTCTGCATAACTAACAGCATTTCAACTCAGTTTCCTCTTACAGTTCAGAATTGGAATCTTTTGGACTTTAGGGCATCATACCTAAATGTACGATCTACTTAATGTAAGGGATAATGTACTTGATTGTTGAAGTAATATGGTGCTATTTTTTTCTTTTATTATTATTTTTAATTTTTTTTAAACAGATGGGATCTCACTGTGTTACCCCAGGCTGGTCTTGAACTCCTGGACTCAAGTGATCCTCCCTTCTCAGCCTCCCAAACTGCTGGGTTTACAGGCGTGAACTACCATACCCAGCCAATTTTTCATTAGTGTTTCTCTTATGCACTGAATAGGAAACTTGTCCTGTTGGATCAAAAGAAAAAAAATCAGATCTTACTGAAGTCTGAAGAGTGGTGTAAGAGTAGGTATATATGTTAGTGTAAGGAAGTGAGTCTTTGATAAGAATATCTCTATTAGAACCGTGCTTCTTACTGGATACATTTTAGTAATTAGCATTTAAATTAAAACCTGGGGCTGGGCATGGTGGCTTACACCTGTAATACCAGCACTCTGGGAGGCTGAGGTGGGTGCATCATCTGAGGTCAGGAGTTCCAGACAAGCCTGGCCAACATGAGGAAACCTTGTCTCTATTAAAAATTCAAAAATTAGCTGGGCATGGTGGCACACGCCTGTAGTCCCAGCTATATGGGAGGCTCAGACAGGAGAATCGCTTATACCCGGGAGGCAGAGGTTGCAGTGAGCCAAAATCGCGCCATTGCACTCCAGCCTGGGTGCAGAGCAAGACTTTGTCTCAAAAAAAAAAAAAACCGTGGTGGTAATTTAGCCTGCTTGAACTAAACCCATTTGTATTGCTCAAATTTGCCATCTACAGGGTGTACTCTGTGTGACCGCGCCTATCCCTCGGACTGTCCCGAACATGGACCAGTGACTTTTGTTCCTGACACTCCAATAGAGAGCAGAGCAAGGCTTTCTCTCCCAAAGCAGCTTGTTCTCCGTCAGTCAATTGTGGGAGCAGAAGTTGGTAAGAACCTTGGAACTGTAAAACACTATTACATCTCTTCTTCCTTTGTAGCGTAGAGTTGTAAAAGTGGATGTGTATAATTTAGTAATTATTTGGACCAAAAGTCAATTTATGGCTTAAGATTTATGCTTTTATGGAATATTAGTCTTGTCCACTGATGATAGCAATAAATCAAGTCAAAAACTTTATTGGGAAATCTCTCCTTTGTTAGAATCAGTATTGAGTAAAGCAAAAAATCCTAGACTGAGTCTTTGAAGATTTAACTTTTATTCTCATCTGTCTCATCCACTAACAATTATTCTAACAACACATTTCTTAAAACTTAGTTTCTTTTATAGAAACATGGAAAATTCACCTTATGACACAACTTTAGATCAAATGTTTGTAAATTATATAATGCTCCTTAGATAAAAGGAATAAAGAATGTAGATTGCCAGACTTTACTTACCCATATTTGAATTTAGCATGGCTTCTGAGTTACTGCGACATTTCTTTGGAAATATAAAATTAGGTTCATTATTCTTTTAGCTGCAGTTTGGGTGTGAGTCATTTCAAAGCATCAAACAGTTTAGGTAAAATAGAGCAGTGCTTTAAGCACAAAAGATTTTAGAAGTCTGATTTATTTCTATAGTAATTGCTTTATATTTTTACAATAGAATAATGTTTTCTGTTATTTTTTATTTATTTATTTTTAAGAGACTGGGTCTCACTCTGTTGCCCAGGCTGGAGTGCACTGGCCTAACATACGGAGTACAGTAACTCGAGTGCAGCCTTGACCTCCTGGGCTCAAGCAATCATCCTGCCGCAACCTTCCAAGTAGCTGGGACTACAGGCATATGCAATCATGCCCAGCTAATTAAAAAAAAAATTTTTTTTGTAGAGACAGCATCTCACTATGTTGCCGAGGCTGGTTTCGAACTCCTGGCCTCAAGCAGTCCTGCCTTGGCCTCCCAAAGTGTTGGCTCATTATATGTGTGAGCTACAAACTTTTTTATATTTAACTCCAAAATAATGTATTTGGAGAGACATGAAAAGATTCCCTTTGGATAAAACTAGGTTCAGGAATTCCTGATATTTCTTCTTACTCAGCATTTATTGTGAGCCCTATGTTATCTGTTCATTACATTTTATATATTTACAGGGCTAGGACCCACAAGGCTTAGTCACCTCTGAGGAATGCTAGCATATTGTTTTTTTTATTTTTTTATTTTTTTTGAGACAGAGTCTCGCTTTGTCACCCAGGCTGGAGTGCATTGGCCCTATCTCTGCTCACTGCAACCTCCGCCTCCTGGGTTCAAGCAATTCTTCTGCCTCAGCCTCCCAAGTAGCTGGGACTACAGGCGTGCGCCACCACGCCCAGCTAATTTTTGTATTTTTAGTAGAGACCGGGTTTCACCCTGTTGGCCAAGCTGATCTCAAACTCCTGACCTCAGGTGATCTGCCCACCTCGGCCTCCCAAAGTGCCGGGATAACAGGCGTGAGCCACCACGCCCAGCCTACATATTGGTTAAATTCATTGAAAATAAGATTCTTTGCATGGGTGAAGCACCTCTTTCTTCTGTATCTTGCTGTTTAAATCATTGATTGTGTAGTTGGTGTCCTTCCACTGACAGGTGTATGGACTGGAGAAACCATTCCTGTGCGGACTTGCTTTGGACCTCTAATTGGCCAGCAGAGTCACTCCATGGAAGTAGCAGAATGGACAGACAAGGCAGTTAACCATATCTGGAAGGTCAGTCCTGATGAAACTTTTCTGTGGCTTTTGGCTGTTTTTCTTAGTAAGAGGTAGTTAAAAAGTTATGATAAAGTCAAAATCAGCCAGAACTGATACAGTGCCATTCACTGGTCAGTCATTTATTTCACGTACATTTTTTTAAATGTTACATTCATCATTCTTGGTAGCCAAATTATAACATACAGCAAAACACCAGCTACTGGAAATAGAGGACAAACTGTTTTTGTCTCTGTTTTGTGAGTTAATCCAATTATTTTAACCATTTAATGCATTTGAATTACTTGTGACTGCTGAGGCCACAGACTTTGTTTGTATGATAAAAGTCTTACTTTGTAATTAAAACATTCCTCAAATGTTTATCTTAGGAAATAATTCTGGAATAAGAAGCTAAGATTATTTTTCTAGTTTTCTTTTTTTTTCTTCCTTGAGATGGAGTCTTGCTCTGTTGCCCAGGCTGGAGTGTAATGGTACAATCTTAGCTTACTGCCACCTCTACCTCCTGGGCTCAGGTGACTCTCCCACCTCAGCCTCCCAAGTAGCTGAATTTACAGGCACTTGCCATCATGCCCAGCTAATTTTTGTATTTTTGTAGAGACGGGGTTTCCCCATGTTGGCCAGACTGGTCTTAAACTCCTGACCTCAAGTGATCTGCCCACCTCAGCCTCCCAAAGTGCCGGGATTACAGGTGTGAGCCACCGCACCTGGCCTATTTTTCTAGTTTTCTAATGAGGGGTTAGAAATACAACATTTTCACATAGATATCTATTGGGAATGATGCTTGCGAAATTGAAGTAAGGAGAAAATGGGTCTTGTGATCTTTGGAAAGGTAAGGTACCACTGTCATTGGGAACTTTAAATTTGGAATGCTAGGCCCAAGTGGGAAAATCATGACAAGGGATGATCCTCTGCCCTTAATGGACATTCAGTCATTCAGTGCCTACTGTGTGATAGGTGATGAAGACAGGTGGACAGGTAGACTGGTTTTTTGTCTTTTCCAGGCAAAGGTTGAATAATCAAAAACAAAGTCAGTCTCTTCACTGAGCACTAACTGTAGGTCTCTGATGGTCTTTATGTATTGCTGGAAATAGGGAGAATGTTGAAATGATAGCATGTTGGAGAAGTAGGAATATATTTTCCCACTAAGAAAGCTGGGACCTACTGCAAATGAGTAAATGAGGTGATTGCTGGCCTAAGTGTAATGTAGTGCTTTATTGCATGTCAGTGCATTTGACATGTGTGCTTGCTTTCTGTTGGCAGATATACCACAATGGTGTCCTAGAATTCTGCATCATTACAACTGATGAAAATGAATGTAATTGGATGATGTTTGTGCGCAAAGCCAGGTATGAGTAGTCTTGGATGAGAAAAAATAGTTACCATTTAGATGTTTTTCAATAGGAAGCTTTGCATAAAAGAAGAAAGAGTTAAGAATCCAAATTACACCAACACCTGGACATACTTAAAGCCCAAGGCAGCCAGGCATGGTGGCTCACACCTTTAATCCCAGCACTTGGGGTGGCTGAGGTGGGAGAATCGCTTGAGGCCAGGAGTTCGAGACCAGCCTGGGAAACATAGCAAGACCCTCATCTCTAAAAAAAGTTTTTTTCAAATTAGCTGGGTGTTGTGGTATATGCATGTAGTCCCAGCTCTTGGGAGGCTGAGGTGGGAGGATCATTTGAGCTGAAGAGTTCAAGCTGTGATCATACTATGGTGGTGCTGTTGCATTCCAGTCTGGGTGACAAAGTGAGATTCTGTCTCAAAAAAAAAAAAAAAAAAGGCACTTACCAAGGAACAATATAGTTACCACTGAATTTGAAAGTGGGTGCCTTTTCTTTATATTGGCTGTTAGTCCACCCCTGAGTTACTGGAGTTAATTCTTGTTTAGCTAGCTAGCTCTATGTCTTTGTCATACTGTTTTTTAAAGACTTCATTTTATTTATCTTGTTTGCTTCCAATAACAGACTGTAGTGTTTTTGACTACAAAAGGTCATCAGCTAATATGTTGAAGTAAGAATTCTGTTTCTCTACAACTGCCTTCTCATAGATAGGACGGGAAATTACAAAAACATTCCAGAGGAAATAGTAAATAGTTCTGCCTAAGCTTTCATATAGGATTTTGCAATGGGGGAATGTTGTACTTAGTATGCATTTCAAAATTAATGTGCTTGATCTATTAAATGTGATAACTCAGGAACCGGGAAGAGCAGAATTTGGTGGCTTATCCTCATGATGGAAAAATCTTTTTCTGCACCTCACAAGATATCCCTCCTGAAAATGAACTGCTTTTTTATTATAGCCGAGATTATGCTCAACAGATTGGTAAGTTAATATGTGTTTATAATGAATCTGGCTTAGTAAAAATACCAAAGACCAGGATTAAAGTTTTGGTAATGATTTACATGTTAGCTGAAGCAAATCATATACCTTTGTTTGTATAAATGCAAACTATTACTTGTATTTGAGGTGTTAAAATCTGTGAGATTCTTCACAAGCTGAATGTTATTGACCAAGCAATAATTCATATGATACGGTCTTTTATGGTAGGACTTTGGTTTGGGGCATTGAAGTTCCTTAGGCTACTTTTCGAGCTAGCACCATTGAGATATAAATTCATGAAGGACAGCGAAGTCCCTCGGTTTGATTTAACCTGCATATGCTTTCTCTTTGCTGTGCTGTTTCATGATGACAGCTAATGTTTAAGAGTTTGGGTATGCTATAAAACCTAAATATTTTGCTTACAAAAGAGGCCTTATAATCCAGTATTTACCAAGTGCTTTCTTTGTGCCTGGTACACTATTTTATTTTACTTATGTATGTGTGTATTTAGAGATAAGGTCTCACTCTGGCAGGCTGGAGTGTAGTGGTGCAGTCATAGCCAACTATAACCTTCAACTCCTGGGCTCAAGCAGTTTCCTGCCTCAGTCTCCTGATTAGCTAGGACTATGGGTGTACATCACCATGCCCAGCCAATGATTTTTAAGTTTTTTTTTTTTATGGAGATGGGGTCTTGCTGTGTTGCCCAGGCTGATCTTAAACTCCTGGCCTCAAATGATCATGCCACTTTGGGCTCTCAAAGCACTAAGATTGCAGGCCTGAGCCACTGTGCCTGGCCCATAGTACATTATTTTAGATGCCCTTAGTACATTATTTTAGTTTTATAGGAAGTGGGCAAATTGGAAATATGGAGAGAAAGGAGAACTGGAAGCAATGATTGTTAATATCAAGAACAAGTTTTAAGATTCAAGTATTGGGAGATAATGAGTAATTTTTTTTTAAAAGGTGTTCCTGAACACCCAGATGTGCATCTCTGTAACTGTGGCAAGGAGTGCAATTCTTACACAGAGTTCAAAGCCCATCTGACCAGCCACATCCATAACCATCTTCCTACCCAGGGACATAGCGGCAGCCATGGGCCAAGTCACAGCAAAGAAAGGAAGTGGAAGTGCTCAATGTGCCCCCAAGCTTTTATCTCTCCTTCCAAACTTCATGTCCACTTTATGGGTCACATGGGTATGAAGCCCCACAAGTGTGATTTCTGTAGCAAGGCTTTTAGTGATCCCAGCAACCTGCGGACCCACCTCAAGATACATACAGGTAAGTTGTGTTGGCCCATCAGAATGGAATTTTTGCAACAATTAGAAAATGCGGTAGTAAAGGCTTTGTAGAGGGATTGTAGGTGGAGTTGAGATTTGATGTCAGAGAAAGAAACCTTCGTGGTTTAACTGAGATTCCTTGGAGGCTGTCACTTCCAATTATTAGGATGTTCTGCTTTCCAGGTCTCCCCACCATAGTTGGAAGGTGCCTGGGAAAATGCACTTAATAATCAGGAAGTTGATCAATGTGTTTGGTCTTAAATAGAAGCTTCTGAGTCTGAGTCTGAGCCTCTCATTAGAGCTCACCCCCCAGTCACCAGCCAGAGCCAGTTTCTCTCCTTTAATATTATTGCTCAATAAATATTGCCACAGTTTATTTTTTGAGCTTCCATTTTCTAAATCCCATGCAAACCAACACCTTTCTTTTAGTACTTTTTAAGAAAAAAAAAAATTTTTTTTTGAGATAGGGCCTCACTCTGTTGCCCAGGCTGGAGTACAGTGACACCATCTTGGTTCACTACTACTTCTGCCTCCAGGACTCAGGTGATCCTCCCACCTCAGCCTCCTGAGTAGCATGGACTGCAGACATGCGCCACCACACCTGACTAATTTTTGTATTTTTAATATAGATGGGGTTTTGCCATGTTGCCAAGGCTGGTCTTGAACTCCTGGGCTCAAACAGTCTGCTTACCTCAGCCTCCCAAAATGCTAGGATTATAGGCCTGAGCCACCATGCCTGGCCACTAACTTTTTTTAATAAATACTACAAAATAACTGATGGCTTTAGCTTTCTTGTTGGGGTCATCTTTTCTCCAGATCTTCAAAAGTTTCTTCCCCATCCTTTTGCAACAGAGACCTTATGGCCCACAAAGCCTAAAATTCTATCTATCCTTTAAGAGAAGGTTTGCTGACCCCTTAGAGGAATCTTATTTTTGCATTCTTGGAAGGATTTTGTTTCATCCCTGGTTTTGAGGCAATATTATATGTTTTAAAAAGATAGAAAACTATAAAATCTATCTTGTAAAAGTATGTTTCCCTATAGACACGTCCTAGAATTCATGAGTTTTTTTTTTTTTTCTTTATGTTTGTGTTAGGGCATTAGGATTATAAGTCATTTTTTTCAAGTTTTATGTATCACCTATACATTTTTTAAAAATACATATTTAGGTCAGAGGTCCTAAAGGAGATCAAATTAATTTACTAGCTTTAGTTGCAGAATATAAACTCAGGAGCTCTTGAGTGGTCTCACATAGACAACCCTAGAAAGTAAAATGCTGCTTACCAGTCAGCTCTGTTTCATTCCTGCCTCTGCTGCATGCACATATGTGTGCCTGTGTGTCTTGGGGATGCCAGCAGTTGTTTTCTTCACGGTGTAATACTTTGGGCTGATTGCAGGTCAGAAGAACTACAGGTGTACCTTGTGTGACAAGTCTTTCACCCAGAAGGCTCACCTGGAGTCCCACATGGTTATCCACACTGGGGAGAAGAATCTTAAGTGTGATTACTGTGACAAGTTGTTTATGCGGAGGCAGGACCTCAAGCAGCACGTGCTCATCCACACTCAGTAAGTTACCCTGCAGCCAAGACGTCGTTCCTCAGGTGGTGAGCCTTTGTGTGGCTGCAGCCCACCTGCTGATTGAAGGGCTGGGGAGTCCTGGCTCATCTGTTTCATGCCTTGGTACCATGGTAGATGCCTTCTGTGTTCCATGTAGCCAAGCCAAGGTTGGAACACTTTTTTTGGTGTTATCCTGGAAGATTTCAGTTGTTGGCTTTCTTTTTCTTACTTTTCACATGTACTCTTTTTTCACATCTACAAAAACCTAGAGACAAAAAGGACTATTGACTGCAAGTGGTTGCTTATAGTTAGACGATAGTGTGCATGTGAGAGAGTGATGGAGTGAGAAGAGTAAGAGTCAGCAGCCACACTATGGAGAACCTTTGGTCCTATTAAGAAAATTCAATTTCAGTCCAGAAATAATGGCGAGACACTGAAGGATCTGCCAGCCCCTGCCATTTTGGAACTGTTCTGTTGGTGTGTGTGTGTGTGTGTGTGTGTGTGTGTGTGTGTTTGTCTGAATTGCAGTTAAAAAAAAAAAATTGTTATCTTAACTGTTTGTAAGTGCCCAGTTCAATAGTGTTAGTTATATTCACGTTGTTGTGCAAGCACTATAGGATTTTAAGGAAAGGAGTGTCATAGTGACATACCCATTCTGTTAATACAAAGATTACTTAGGCAGCTGAACAGAGGATGATTGAGGGTGGGGAAGCCTAAATATTGGAAGACCAATTAGGTATTTATTGCATGAATCCAAGTGTAATTAAATGTCTAGACTGCATTAGTCACAGTGGTCATAGAAAGAAGAGATGGATTTTGTTGTCCTTAGCTTTTAACAAGTGTCAGAAGAGGAAGAAAATGTTTTCAGCTTATGTTATGGAAATTCTCTTTAGAAATCTTACCTTCACTGAAAACGTTATATTCTTAATGTAGAATTTGGATAAACACTTGGCTTTGATACCAGTTCTTCTGTCTGCTTCCTTATCACAATGCAGCCTGAGATGCTAAACAGCCAAGGAGCCTGGATCTACATTCCTAACTCTCAGAAGGATATTCTAAAACAAAGACTTCTTTAGTTCCATTGCTAGCATGAAATTTTACAAAATTAGACAGAAATTATCAAATATTACATCAAATTGTGCAATATTGGAGCCAAAAGAGATCCCCGGATCATCTAGTCTTAACATCCTGTCTAGGCAGCTCAGGTTGTGATAATAAAATACCACAGATTTTGTGGCTCAAACAACGGGAGAGACACAGTGAGAGAAGGCAGTCATGAGCAAGCCTGGAAGAGGGCCCCCACCAGAACCCAGCCAGGCTGGCACCCTGATCTCTGACTCCAGCCTCCAGGACTGTGAGAAAATACGTTTCTGTTGAGAGAATGAAAGAGAAAGAATATGAGAGTTCCAATCTCTTCTCATAAGGACACTAATCCTACATCATGGAAGCCCCATCCTCATGACCTCATCTAACCCTAATTGCCTTCCAAAGGCTCCACCTCACACTGGGTGTTAGGGCCTCAACATGTGAATTTGGGGTGAGGGGGGACAAATATTTGTCCAGAAGACTGCCCATTATAATTGCCTGGAAAATGTGAAAAACAACAATTGGTGCTAGGACCCCATCCATGGGAATTCTAATTTAATTGGTCAGAGTTAGAGCTCTGGCCTTGGTATTTTAAAAAGCTCCCCAAGTGATTCTCGTGGCCAGCCAGGGTTAAGGACTACTGACTTCATCCACATGCAAGATTGATTTCCACAATGTCTCTGGCAAGTGGATATATTGTTTCTTAAAGATCACACAATTATAGTTTGAGGAAAAGTTTTGCTTGAATCAAGTCGATATCAGCCTCTATCCTTTCATTTTACTTTTGCTTAACAAATGTGGATCTGGACTCCTTTTCAGGGTGAGAAGATATGGTAAGCCTCTTTGCCAAACTTTCATGGGATAGAAAGAAGGTTTTGGACTGTCAAAACTTAAAGCTGGTATAAGTCATTCTTATAAGAAGCACTGTTCCCTCAAAATGGTTTTGAATGAGGCTTTAGGCTTCCTATGGAGATCGTTGGTAAAATTTTCAGATGCTTGTATTTTTACTTTGGGGCATTTCAAAGTGGATATAGTAGTATTAGCAGTCTTTTTATTTATCTACTTAAAAAAAACAGCTACAGCCCTAATGCCAAATGCAAGAGGAGTTCCCCCCCTAGTGTCCCCCGAGAGTGGAAGGGTGGTGACAGAACCTGGCTTTGCCCTTCCTGTAAGAAAGAGGAAGTGAGCAGAAGAACAGTGATGTTTACTCCCCAGGTCATCTTGTCTCATGGCTTTAGATACCGTCATATGATTTATGTCTCCACCCTCATACACCTCACCATCACTCAGCGGCTCTGATGCTGGATGTTCGCTAGGCAACTTAAATCTTATGTGTCCAAAACTCAACCCAGTATTACCCCATGAATTTGATTTCCTCCAGTGCTGAGCAGCTCATTAAATGGCACCACCATTATTCACCTCAATGGTCAAGCCAAACACCTTGAAGTAATTCTCAACTCAGTTTTTCCTTCCTTCCTTCATTCAACTAACACCTTGTCCAGACCACCAGCTTTTCTTCTATGGATGGCTTCAGTAGCCTCCCAGTTGATCTCCCTGCCACTACTTGCTGTTTCTCCTCATCTACTCCGCAACACAGATGAACACACATACACACAGTTTTCTGTCCGCAGTGCCAGAGCAATCCATTTCAAATATAAGTCAGATTGTGCCTGTCTCCACTCATACATCTCTGGTGGCTTTCCATCGTATTTGTGTTAAAAGCTTTTTACAGCAGTCAGAAGGCCCTTTATGATGTAATAGTACTTGGCTACCTCTCCCTTCACCTTTTCTTACTTTTCATATTCTGCTTTGGCCACTCTGACCCTCCCCTTGCTACTCCTTGAGCATACTAAGCACATCCAGTCTCAGGGCCTCTGCCTTAGAAACTTCTCCCTCCAGATGCCTGCATGTCTTCTTCCCTCCATTCAGGTTTCTGCTCAAATGTTATCTCCTCAGGAGGGCCTTCCTTGACTATCTTATCTAAAATAGGACCCCTTCACTTTTACCTGGCTTCGTGTGTTTTCGTAGTCTTTATTGCTATATGATACCACGTTACACATTTGTTTATGCTATAATCTGTCCACTTAGAATGTAAGCTTCATGAAAGCAGGGACTTAGTTTACCCACATCCTATAGCCCTAGCATCTAGAACAGTGCCTGGCATAATTAGACACAGTAAATATGTGTTGAATAAACATCTAAAAACCATCAGAGTAGAAGATGAAAAGTCAGACTTTTGGTAGGGGTTTTGTTGTGGCCTTGGGCAAGTTCCTTAGTAGTTTTTATGCACATGATGTTTCCCATCTGCAGAATTAAGAGGTTGGATTAGATTGGTGGTTTTAAAACTGCTCCAGGGAATTCTAAGGGTTCTTCAGTGCCATCTGTTGCTAGAAGAGGATGAGAGAAATGCTAAGGAAGCCAGGCTTCAGAACGCCCGACTGCACCCTCTCACTCCTTCCAGGATTTTATTAATAACCTGCTTTAACTGTTTCATATTGGGCTTTCATAAAGACATGGGGTTCAGCTACTCAAAAAAAAAAAAAAAGCTAAAAAATTCCTGGTCTGTGTGATCTCTAAGGTTCTTTTCAGCTCTGAAATGTCTAGGCCAGGGTTACTCAAACCTTGACATTATTGACATTTTGACCGGGTTAATTTTTTGTTGTGGGGCTGCCCTGTGCATTGTAGAATGGTTAGCAGCATCCTTGGCCTTTTCCTACTAGATACTAATTATACCACCCCTCCCCAGTATAACAATCAGAAAGGACTCCAGACATTGCCAAATGTCCCCATAGAGGCAGTCGCCCCTACTTGAGAACCACTAGTCTAAGAAAAGGACAGAAAAATGGTAATTCCATAAAAGTGGCATCCAGGGAATACAAATAACGGTGTAATGAGATACCATTATGTACTGGCTAATTGGCAGACATTTTCAAATTTGAGTCTTCCAGTTGAGAATATGGGACAACCAGAACCGTCAATGATGGATGTGTATATTGAAACAACTACATTGGAAAACCGTTTGTCATTATCTTGTAAAGTTGAAGATGTGCATATCCTTTGATTTAGCTATATAGTTCTTGGGTATGTGCCCTAGAGAAACATGTATTGCAGAGCACCATACAAGTATAAAAATGTTCAAATGCCAGGTACAGTGGCATGCACCTGTAGTCCCAGGTACTTGGGAGGCTGAGGCGGACAGATCACTTGAGCCCAGGAGTTCAAGGCTGTAGTGCATGATGATCACACCTGTGAATAGCCATTGCACTCCAGTCTGGGCAACATGGTGGGACCCTGTCTCTAAAAAATAATAATAAAAATTTAAAAAAATTTAAAAACGTTCTAGCACTTTTGCTTGTGATAATAAAAAACTGGAAACCACCAAAACATTCATTAGCTAGAGACAAATCCAGTACCATAGATAAGTTGTGGTGTATTTGTATATTTGTAAATAGTATACAGCAGTGGAAGGGAACAAACAACTGATACAGCAGCTTGAATGAATTTTATGAGCATCATACTGAGAGAATGCAGCAAGACAAAAGAAATACATATAGAATTTACATAGAATTTGAGAATTTACATAGTATTCTAAAACAGGAAAAATGAGCCTACACTGTTTTAAACTATACATGTTTTATGAGTCTTCTGTATATCACCTATGCAAAAGCCTGATTCAGAAGGATAGAGCTGCTCTGACAAAGGCCTGCGGCTATGAAGAATAAGTGTTGCCTCAGTTGTTATTTGTAACCCCAAATCAAATGTTTTTTCTTGTGTTCCTCTTAGAGAACGCCAGATCAAGTGTCCCAAGTGTGATAAGCTGTTCTTGAGAACAAATCACTTAAAGAAGCATCTCAATTCTCATGAAGGAAAACGGGATTATGTCTGTGAAAAATGTACAAAGGCTTATCTAACCAAATACCATCTCACCCGCCACCTGAAAACCTGCAAAGGGCCCACCTCCAGTTCGTCAGCACCAGAGGAGGAAGAAGAGGATGACTCAGAAGAGGAAGATCTAGCAGACTCTGTGGGGACAGAAGACTGTAGGATTAACAGTGCTGTGTATTCAGCGGATGAGTCTCTTTCTGCACATAAATAAAAGGAAAAGAAACAAGCAATTTTGGATGAAAATGCAAATGGAAAAATACACATAACCAGTTATCTACTATAATGGTTTTTATATAAAATGGTTCCTGATTTATTTTCAGCCAGTAATCAAAACAGACTGGGAATGAATAAAGCACTTACAGAAGAGTATCCTAATGAAAACACTTTAAAACAGATTGGGAAAACTGAGCATGTGTCCTGTTTTAAGTGGTGGACTGGGAGGGAAGTGTCAACTTCTGAGGTCTTTATTTACATGATAATCTGGGAGATGCATTTATGCCTGAATCAAAGCTGCCTTCTGCTCAAACAAATCAGATTTATTTCACATTCTTCCATTATTCCATTTTCCTGCTGGTCCTGTGACTTGGTAACATTCTAAACGGTCCTTGCCCCATAGCCATCCTGATTGCTGATAGTGTTTTATGCAGACTCTTGTGACTTATACTCACCACAGAATGGATTGGGACACAGCAGCATAAGTGTGCTACTTGGCAGCTAGTAAGTTTAAAGCAGGACCTGCCTTAACTGCTCCTGGCCACTTGGAAGTTTAGGGTAGATCTTGTTTTCCAAAGTTTCGGCAGGTGCCTGGAGGGCAAATAAAAAAGCAGCAGTCAGTCAGTAGTCAGTGATGGAGAGAACAAGAGGAGAGATGCCTGGCCTCTGCCCAAGAAATTAGCTTTGATGGAAGCCTGAGCAAGTCACCTGGTTATTGTAACGTGGAGATCTTTGTAGGTTTAGACATGGCTCCCTGTCTCCAGTAAACATCCAGCCATTCAGACAAAGGGGGCCTGGAGATACAGAGAGCCCAAATAATGCCTGCTGGATTGTCTCCTGATGAGTACATGTGGACTCACCTGAGGAAGGGAAGGAAGGGAATAATCTTTTATGTTTCATTTACCTTATGAAAAGTGTTAAAACATTGCCAACTCAAAATAACATTATTTAATGCATGTGCAAAGTTAGGTCTTCCCAGTTGTCTCAGTGCTGAGGAACCTCATCAGAGAAGCATGGAAGATGCCAAAGGATTTTTGGAAGGTAAAGAAGGCTGAATAGTGACCACATGGGCCTGTTTTCAGGGTCCCAGCTTAGTTAAGTCACCCATGCACCTGGTCATTGTGTCTCCCATGCACATCCAGCGTTTCTCAGAAGCAGACCCACCCTTAAGTTGACAGGATTGATGGAACATGCTCTCCTGCTCAAGGCACAACCTCTGGGCTGGAGTAGAGGACTCTGGTGGGAAGGTTTTGCTGCTAATGTATTTATGGAATGAATGTATTTCATTCAAATCTGTATTCCTCTAGGAAGGATTAAAATTAAACTTTTTTAAAATACAGGATTCCTCTGGTAGTCTCATTTCATGGAGGAAGGAGATGAGTGAGTCTTCTAGGGAAAGTCAAGTACAATTTGAATCTTTCTGAGGTTAGAAGAAGAGAGCATTTCTAGAGTATTTTAGCTTTTGAGATCATATTCTTATTGTTTCTGCTGTTAGTACTTAAGACAAACTGCTTCCTGTGCTTCCAACCCTCTTCTGCCCTGTTCCTGCCTAAGGTATGCCTTTACTCTGTTACCTCCTTGGAGAAATGTGGCAGGTCTGCAGTGGAGGGTTGGGGGATGTGTTGCGGATGGTTAGGGTTGGCTGCTGACACTGGGTCGTGACGCCTCCCTCAGGGCAGCTCTGGTTCCTAGGGCAGCTTCAAACTCAGCATTTTGCCAAAGGCATCCAGCTGGCTGGTTCCCCCATACCCAGGAAACCACTGGTACTGGGACTCTAAGCTCCCTTTCTTCCTTTATCTCAGTAGCACACACTGGGTTCACTTCCTTCATTCCCAAGACTGAAATGATGCCCAAGATAGTTACGCCTAGTGTCAGAGGAACACAAACAGCAGAGGAAGCTTGGAAACCTTTTTAGTGAAGTTGTAGCTGTTAGTGCTTAGTATTTACAACTGTCTCTCCATTTTTTTACCTCTTAATTTTAAATTCTAAGTCATTTTCACAAGATGAATAAATAAGTAAGTGCCCTTTGACATGAATGTTTTCAGCCTTTTCTGCCCATTTTGGGTGGCCTTGCTGCTGTTGAGTAAATGGTCACGGTGAGAGGCAGGATGTGTATGTAGGCTCTGGAGCCCTGCAGAATGTTCTCTAGTGTGGGCTTTGCTGTGTGATGAAGGTTTGTAACCTTGGCCAAGTTATGTAAGCTCTCTATGCCTCTTCCCTTAACTGTAAATGGAGAGTATTAAGAGCGCCGCTTCATTATACTGTTTAGATGTTAAGTTCATACGTGTCAGTGGCTCCCACAGTGCTCAACATAAACAGTAGCTGATATTCTTTAGTTTCCCATTAGTCTACATTTTTCATTTTAACATAGGTTTCTACACTAAAAAAAATTGACATATAGAATATCCAAGAAGCTCTAGATTTTAGTAATATAAATAAAACTGGAATAATTTGAGTTTTCAAGGCCAAAGCCTATAAACTAGTTCAGAGTATTCTTGCAGCTCACTGTATGCTTGGCATTTCCTTCTCAAAAAGGTCAGTGGCTCATAATCCTGGCATTTTTGTTGTGCTGAGATTCTCAGAGGGCAAAGAGGTAACAGGAAGTAGAGTCTTCGTCAGCCTTTTCACGCTTGACCTGTGTCCCCGCTTTCTAGTAAACACTCCTTTACCTGTGTCTCAAGAAGCATAAACATGCCAGAGGCTGTCAGCACCTCATCAAGTATGTAAACTTGATGATCTGATCACCAAACTTGGAGGCACACACTAAGGAATGACATATCTCCATATACACAAGTGATTATGGTCTGTTACAGGTGAACACACCGCCCCCTGCCAACACCACCAGATTCATATGGTGAAGTCCTAACCTCCAGTAATCTCAAAATGTGATTGTAGTTGGAGATACGGTTTTTAAAGAAGGAATTAAGTTAAAATGAAGTCCTTAAGTTAGGACCTAACCCAATATGACTGGTGTTCTTAGAAAAAGAAAATTTGGACAAAGCCTTATACAGAGGGAAGATGATGTGAAAACAGGGAGAAGACATTTCCAAGCCCAAGGAAAGAGGCCTGGAACAGGTCCTTCCCTCACAGCCCTCTGAACAGTCCTGCCATTGCTTTGATCTCAGACTTCCAGCCTCCAGAACTGGGAAACAATACATTTCTGTTTAGTCTTCCCGGTCCATGGCAATTTGTTGTGGCAGCCCTGGCAAACTAAACAGTCTAACCAGATATACGTTCTTGATAATGATTGCTTAAAGGGGAGCAGCTTCCAGTATAGTGACTTCAGTTTAACCCCAGCTTTACAGATTAGCATGAGCAATATAAAGGCAGGCACCATTTCTAGTGGTGTATATTGCCGCCAGCAAATTTCCCTACTACTGAAAGGGGTGAAACCACTCCTTAACAGCTTTTTTGCTCCTTAGCTTTTCTTGCATATGCACACTGAGGATCATTAGGCACTCAGGCCTGTGTAGTCCTCAGACAAGGAGAGTGGTCTTTTCAAAAACCATTTATTAAGTGCTGGTACACTTTAAGGCATTGTAGGGGGAACAGAAAAATAACTAGGGCTCTGCTCCTGCCTTTGGATACAGGTGATCTGCCTGCCTCCGCTTTCCAAAGTGCTGGGATTACAGGCATGCGCCACCGTGCCTGGCCCAGGCTACAAGTCTTTAAAGGAAATCACATAAACTCTAAACTATTCCATTTAGACAATGCATATTTATATCCACAAGTTAGGGAGCACATGGAAAGCATGCTTTGTTCTTTGTGTTTTCTGCCCCCAGCACCTGCCTCCTCACCCTGCAGCACATCTTGTGCTGCTACATACTTGCTGAGGCTCAGGCTGGGCATGGGCTTTGGGGTTGGGCAAGCATCAAGATCAGTTTAGGGCCAGATTTGGGAAAGAAAAATCACCTAAGGTGAAAGTCACTTACTTTGGGAAATTTTACTTCTTGAATGATCTGTTAATTGGTTAATAGACACAACTTCTGGCCCCTCTTAGCTAGCACTGCCTAGGACCTTGTGACACATTTGCTTGCAAATATGCTTTCTAGTGGTAGTACATTTTAATTTATAGTTTTACTCCTCATAGGGCATTATAAAAGTAGGCTTTACCCTCAGTTGTCTAGATGTTGAAAATGAAGTTCAGAAAAATTACACTTTTCACACCTGTAATCCCAGCACTTTGGGAGGCAGGTGGATCACTTGAAGTCAGGAGTTCCAGACCAGCCTGGCCAACATGGTGAAACCCTGTCTCTACTAAAAATACAAAAATTAGCTGGGCATGGTGGTGGGAGCCTGTAAATTCCAGCTACTCAGGAGGCTGAGGCAGGAGAATCACTTGAACCCAGCAGGCGGAGGTTGCAATGAGCCAAGATTGTGACACTGCACTCCAGCCTGGGCAACAAAGCAAGGCTCTATCTCAAAAAAAACAAAAAAAAAAAACCAGTTTGTTGCATTTCATATTCACTGATTGGCTGCCTGGGAGCACTTTTTAAAAATGCCTGTATTTCTCTTCCAGGGCTCTCTTCCATGTTAATCTACGTGAAACATTATTTAGACGCTGCTGTTGTTCTGACACACCTCATTTCAGGATGCATCACACTGCTGCTTACACTTAGTTGCATATTTGCACTGGGGTTGTGGAATCTGTTTTTTATAAGCATAGAACACCTTTGTGGGTCATTGCTCTTAGTTGATTAGAGCCAACTACCACTCAGTTATGACAAGTGAATTATTCAAAAGCATGTGAGATGACATAATATTCTGTTAAGGGACTTATTCAAGATGCCTGACCCAGATGTGCTGTAGCAAAAAGAAAGGGAGCCAGGCTACGTTGCATCTAAAATTCCCACCGTGCCAGTGTGCAAATAGTATGTTTCATAGCAAGAGAAAAGCAGGATGGTCTATTCATCCAGCATTGTTTGTTTCTTTGGGAAAGGAACACGTTAGACTTTAAGGGCTGGAGAAGTGTGTATTTAAGGAAAAGCAATGGCTTGTGACCAGGAAATTTGATTTTAAGCTGAGAAGTAACCATTCGAAAGAAAGGAAGAGAACTCGAGTAACTTAAGTAAGTTTATTATAAGTTAAGTGCTTTAACTTCACAATAACAACCTTGTAGGGTAGGTTTTAATATCTTTGTTTTACCGAGGCCACAGAATGTCCCAGAAGTTAATGCAGTTACTGAAGTGTGAGATTGGAAAGTAAGGCCTCCTAGCTCTGCATTCGATGCTTTTTCTACTGTATTCTGTGGCATAGAGTTATTAGCATGATTACGGAAAAGTCATCTAGCTTGGGTGGCTCAGTACTCTCATTTTGGTGGTTGATAATAATCAAGTTTTTTAAATTGATTAGTAAGACTTGAGAAATGCCCTGAGACTATGTATGTATGGTTGCTTGCTATGAATGCTGGGAAAAGACATTCTGAATATATCAAGTGGTAAGGCATCCCAGTTAGCTAGATTTTTGTAACACAAAAAGCAAAATCCTATTACTTCATACTAAATCTAACAAGGGGTTGGGCACGGTGGCTCACACCTGTAATCCCAGCAATTTGGGAGGCCGAGGCGGGTGGATTTCTTGAGGCCAGGATTTCAAGATCGGCTTGGCCAACATGGTGAAACCCCATCTCTACTAAAAATACAAAAATTAGCCAGGTGTGGTGGCATATGCCTGTAATCCAGCTAGTCAGGAGGCTGAGGCAGGAGAATCGCTGAAGCCCAGGAAGTGGAGGCTCCAGTGAGCCAAGACCACTCCACTGCACTCCAGTCTGGGCAAGGCAACGAGACTGCGTTTGAAAAAGAAAAAAAAAAATCTAATGAGGGAGACTACTAAATAAGTAATTACAAAATTTTAAAAGGAGTAAGACAAATTACATTCTAACACAGCAGGGGTATCTTATGCAGGCTACAGAGATGAGGGGAGGCTTCTCAAAGGAAATGACACTTTTTTTTTAAATTATACTTTTAAGTTCTAGGGTACATGTGCACAACGTGCAGGTTTGTTACATATGTATACATGTGCCATGTTGGTGTGCTGCACCCATTAACTTGTCATTTACATTAGGTATATCTACTAATGCTATCCCTCCCCCCTCCCCCCACCCCATGACAGGCCCTGGTGTGTGATGTTCCCCTTCCTGTGTCCAAGTGTTCTCATTGTTCAGTTCCCATCTATGAGTGAGAACATGCAGTGTTTGGTTTTCTGTCCTTGTGATAGTTTGCTGAGAATGATGATTTGCATCTTCATCCATGTCCCTACAAAGGACAGGAACTCACCCTTTTTTATGGCTGCATAGTATTCCATGGTGTATATGTGCCACATTTTCTTAATCTAGTCTATCATTGATGGACATTTGGGTTGGTTCCAAGTCTTTGCTATTGTGAATAGTGCTGCAATAAACATACGTGTGCATGTGTCTTTATAGCAGCATGATTTATAATCCTTTGGGTATATACCCAGTAATGGGATGGCTGGGTCAAATGGTATTTTTAGTTCTAGATCCTTGAGGAATCACCACACTGTCTTCCACAATGGTTGAACTAGTTTACAGTCCCACCAACAGTGTAAAAGTGTTCCTATTTCTCCACATCCTGTCCAGCACCTGTTGTTTCCTGACGTTTTAATGATCACCATTCTCACTGGTGTGAGATGGTATCTCATTGTGGTTTTGATTTGCATTTCTCTGATGGCCAGTGATGATATTTTTTCATGTGTTTGTTGGCTGCATAAATGTCTTCTTTTTAGAAGTGTCTGTTCATATCCTTTGCCCACTTGTTGATGGGGTTGTTTGTTTTTTTCTTGTAAATTTGTTTGAGTTCATTGTAGAGTCTGGATATTAGCCCTTTGTCAGATGAGTAGATTGCAGAAACTTTTTCCCATTCTGTAGGTTGCCTGTTCACTCTGATGGTAGTTTCTTTTGCTGTGCAAAAGCTCTTTAGTTTAATTAGATCCCATTTGCCAATTTTGGCTTTTGTTGCCATTGCTTTTGGTGTTTTAGACATGAAGTCCTTGCCCATGCCTATGTCCTGAATGGTATTGCCTAGGTTTTATTCTAGGATTTTTGTGGTTTTATGTCTAACATTTAAGTCTTTAATCCATCTGGAATTAATTTTTGTATAAGCTGTAAGGAAGGGACCCAGTTTCAGCTTTCTACATATGGCTAGCTAGTTTTCCCAGCACCATTTATTAAATAGGGAATCCTTTCCCCATTTCTTGTTTTTGTCAGGTTTGTCAAAGATCAGATGGTTGTAGATGTGTGGTATTATTTCTGAGGGCTCTGTTCTGTTCCATTGGTCTATATCTCTGTTTTGGTGTCAGTACCATGCTGTTTTGGTTACTGTAGCCTTGTAGTATAGTTTGAAGTCAGGTAGCATGATGCCTCCACCTTTGTTCTTTTGGCTTAGGATTGACTTGGCAATGTGGGCTCTTTTTTGGTTCTATAGGAACTTTAAAGTAGTTGTTTCCAATTCTGTGAAGAAAGTCATTGGTAGCTTGATGGGGATGGCATTGAATCTATAAATTACCTTGGGCAGTAACGCCGTGTTCACGATATTGATTCTTCCTATCCTTGAGCATGGAATGTTCTTCCATTTGTTTGTGTCCTCTTTTATTTCGTTGAGCAGTGGTTTGTAGTTCTCCTTGAAGAGGTCCTTCACATCCCTTGTAAGTTGGATTCCTAGGTATTTTATTCTCTTTGAAGCAGCTGTGAATGGGAGTTCACTCATGATTTGGCTCTCTGTCTATTATTGGTGTATAAGAATGCTTGTGATTTTTGCACATTGATTTTGTATCCTGAGACTTTGCTGAAGTTGCTTATCAGCTTAAGGAGATTCTGGGCTGAGACAGTGGGGTTTTCTAGATATACAATCATGTCATCTGCAAACAGGGACAATTTGACTTCCTCTTTTCCTAATTGAATACCCTTTATTTCTTTCTCCTGCCTGATTGCCCTGGCCAGAACTTCCAACACTGTGTTGAATAGGAGTGGTGAGAGAGGGCATCCCTGTCTTGTGCCAGTTTTCAAAGGGAGTGCTTCCAGTTTTTGCCCATTCAGTATGATATTGTCTGTGGGTTTGTCATAAATAGCTCTTATTATTTTGAGATATGTCCCATCAATACCTAATTTACTGAGAGTTTTTAGCATGAAGGGCTATTGAATTTTGTCAAAGGCCTTTTCTGCATCTATTGAGATAATCATGTGGTTTTTGTCTTTGGTTCTGTTTATATGCTGGATTACGTTTATTGATTTGCGTATGTTGAACCAGCCTTGCATCCCAGGGATGAAGCCCACTTGATCATGGTGGATAAGCTTTTCGATGTGCTACTGGATTCGGTTTGCCAGTATTTTATTGAGGATTTTTGCATCGATGTTCTTCAGGGATATTGGTCTAAAATTCTCTTTTTTTGTTGTGTCTCTGCCAGGCTTTGGTATCAGGATGATGCTGGCCTCATAAAATGAGTTAGGGAGGATTCCCTCTTTTTCTATTGATTGGAATAGTTTCAGAAGAATGGTACCAGCTCCTCCTTGTACCTCTGGTAGAAATCGGCTGTGAATCCGTCTGGTCCTGGACTTTTTTTGGTTGGTAAGCTATTAATTATTGCCTCAATTTCAGAGCCTGTTACTGGTCTATTCAGAGATTCAACTTCTTCCTGGTTTAGTCTTGGGAGGGTGTATGTGTCGAGGAATTTATCCATTTCTTCTAGATTTTCTAGTTTATTTGCATAGACGTGTTTATAGTATTCTCTGATGGTAGTTTGTATTTCTGTGGGATCGGTGGTGATATCCCCTTTATCATTTTTTATTGCGTCTATTTGATTCTTCTCTCTTTTCTTCTTTATTAGTCTTGCTAGCGGTCTATCAATTTTGTTGATCTTTTCAAAAAACCAGCTCCTGGATTCATTGATTTTCTGAAGGGTTTTTTGTGTCTCTATCTCCTTCAGTTCTGCTCTGATCTTAGTTATTTCTTGCCTTCTGCTAGCTTTTGAATGTGTTTGCTCTTGCTTCTCTAGTTCTTTTAATTGTGATGTTAGGGTGTCAATTTTAGATCTTTCCTGCTTTCTGTTTTGGGCATTTAGTGCTATAAATTTCCCTCTACACACTGCTTTAAATGCTATAAATTTCCCTCTATACACTGCTTTAAATGTGTCCCAGAGATTCTGGTATGTTGTGTCTTTGTTCTCATTGGTTTCAAAGAACATCTTTATTTCTGCCTTCATTTCATTATGTACCCAGTAGTCATTCAGGAGCAGGTTGTTCAGTTTCCATGTAGTTGAGCGGTTTTGAGTGAGTTTCTTAATCCTGAGTTCTAGTTTGATTGCACTGTGGTCTGAGAGACAGTTTGTTATAATTTCTGTTCTTTTACATTTGCTGAAGAGTGCTTTACTTCCAACTATGTGGTCAATTTTAGAATAAGTGTGATGTGGTGCTGCGAAGAATGTATATTCTGTTGATTTGGGGTGGAGAGTTCTGCAGATGTCTGTTAGGTCCGCTTGGTGCAGAGCTGAGTTCAATTCCTGGCTATCCTTGTTAACTTTCTGTCTCATTGATCTGTCTAATGTTGACAGTGGGGTGTTAAAATCTCCCATTATTATTGTGTGGGAGTCTAAGTCTCTTTGTAGGTCTCTAAGGACTTGCTTTATGAATCTGGGTGCTCCTGTATTGGGTGCATATATATTTATGATAGTTAGCTCTTCTTGTTGAATTGATCCCTTTACCATTATGTAATGACCTTCTTTGTCTCTTTTGATCTTTGTTGGTTTAAAGTCTGTTTTATCAGGGACTAGGATTGCAACCCCTGTCTTTTTTTTGTTTTCCATTTGCTTGGTAGATCTTCCTCCATCCCTTTATTTTGAGCCTATCTGTGTCTCTGCACGTGAGATGGGTCTCCTGAATACAGCACACTGATGGGTCTTGACTCTATCCAATTTGCCGGTCTGTGTCTTTTAATTGGAGCATTTAGCCCATTTACATTTAAGGTTAATATTGTTATGTGTGAATTTGATCATGTCATTATGATGTTATCTGGTTATTTTGCTCGTTAGTTGATGCAGTTTCTTCCTAGCAGGGATGGTCTTTACAATTTGGCATGTTTTTGCAGTGGCTGGTACCAGTTCCTTTCCATGTTTCATGCTTCCTTCAGGAGCTCTTGTAGGGCAGGCCTGGTGGTGACAGAATCTCTCAGCATTGGCTTGTCTGTAAAGGATTTTATTTCTCCTTCACTTATGAAGCTTAGTTTGGCTGGTTATGAAATTCTGGGTTGAAAATTCTTTTCTTTAAGAATGTTGAATATTGGCCCCTACTCTCTTCTGGCTTATAGAGTTTCTGCCAAGAGTTCCGCTGTTAGTCTGAGGGGCTTCCCTTTGTGGGTAACCCAACCTTTCTCTCTGGCTGCCCTTAACATTTTTCCCTTCATTTCAACTTTGGTGAATCTGACAATTATGTGTCTTGGAGTTGCTCTTCTCGCGGAGTATCTTTGTGGCATTCTCGGTATTTCCTGAATTTGAATGTTGGCCTGCCTTGCTAGGTTGGGGAAGTTCTCCTCGATAATATCCTGCAGAGTGTTTTCCAACTTGGTTCCATTCTCCCTGTCACTCTCAGGTACACCAGTCAGACGTAGATTTGGTCTTTTCACATAGTCCCATATTTCTTGGAGGCTTTGTTTGTTTCTTTTTACTCTCTTTTCTCTAAACTTCTCTTCTTGCTTCATTTCATTCATTTGATCTTCAATCACTGATACTGTTTCTTCCAGTTAATCAAATTGGCTACTGAAGCTTGTGCATTCGTCACATACTTCTTGTGCCATGGTTTTCAGCTCCATCAGGTCATTTAAGGACTTCTCTACACTGGTTATTCTAGTTAGCCATTCGTCTAATCTTTTTTTAAAGGTTTTTAGCTTCCTTGCGATGGGTTCGAACTTCCTTCTTTAGCTCGGAGAAGTTTGATTGTCTGAAGCCTTCTCTCAACTCGTCAAAGTCATTCTCTGTCCAGCTTTGTTCTGTTGCTGGCGAGGAGCTGCGTTCCTTTGGAGCGGGAGAGGCATTCTGACTTTTGTTTTTTCCCCATCTTGGTGGTTTTATCTACCTTTGGTCTTTGATCATGGTGACATACAGATGGGGTTTTGGTGTGGATGTCCTTTCTGTTTGTTAGTTTTCCTTCTAACAGTCAGGACCCTCAGCTGCAGGTCTGTTGGAGATTGCTGGAGGTCCACTCCAGACCCTGTTTGCCTGGGTATCAGCAGCAGAGGCTGCAGAACAGCGAATATTGCTGAACAGCAAATGTTGCTGCCTGATCGTTCTTCTGGAAGTTTCGTCTCAGAGGGGTACCTGGCCATGTGAGGTGTCAGTCTGCTTTTACTGGGGGATGCCTCCCAGTTAGGCTACTCGGGGGTCAGGGACCCACTTGAGGAGGCAGTCTGTCCGTTCTCAGATCTCACTCCTTGCTGGGAGAACCACCACTCTCTTCAAAGCTCAGTTGGAAATGCAGAAATCACCCGTTTTCTGTGTTGCTCATGCTGGGAGCTGTAGACTGGAGCTGTTCCTATTCGGCCATCTTGGAACCCCCCTACTCAGGAAATGACATTTAAACTGAACTTTAAAGGATGAATACAAGTTAGCCAGAGAAAAAGGAGTAAAGTTTTCCATATAAAAGGAAAAGCATGATAATTTGAATGTTAAAAGTTTATCAGAAATGTCACAGCCTGGCAACAGAGCGAGACTCCGTCTCAAAAAAATAAAAAGGCAAATTAAAACAAATAAATTTTTAAAAAACCAGTGAACTGGCTGGATGCGGCTGCTCATGCCTATAATCCCAGCATTTTGGGAGGCCAAGGTGGGTGGATCACGAGGTCAAGAGATCAAGACCATCCTGGCCAACATGGTGAAACCCTGTCTCTACTAAAAATACAAAAATTAGCTGGGCATGGTGGTGTACATCTGTAGTCCCAGCTACTCAGGCCGCCGAGGCAGGAGAATTGCTTGAACCCGGGAGGCAGAAGTTGCAGTGAGCCGAGATCGCGCCACTGCACTCCAGCCTGGCAATAGAACGAGATTCCATCTCAAAAAAAGACAAACAAAAATACACAAAAAACCAAAACCACCAGTGAACAATCCACAAAGTGGTAAACTATTAGACATATATAGTTCCATTAAAGGGACATGACAATGTTGTCCTCTCCACAACTGTATTCCACATTGTACCAAAGATCCTAGTCAAGGAAATAAGACAGATAAACTTTCCCTTTTTGAAGACAATTATCAAGAAAATTAACTGAAAAACTGTAAGAACTGAGAGTTTAACAAGGTGCCCAGTACAAAGAGAGCATACACATTTTCATAGCTCTTCTGTATATTAGGCATAACAAACTGCAAAATATGAGAAAAGTGTCCTATCCACCTTAGTATTAAAATCATATAAACCTAGGAATAAATCCAACAACTAGCAAAGTCTATATGAAAAGAGAATAAACTTCATTTGAAAGATAGAATGGGTGCTGTGGTTCATACCTGTAATCCCAACACTTTGGGAAACTGAGGCAGGAGAATTGCTTGAGGAATTCGAGACCAGTCTGGTTAACATAGTAAGACCTTGTTTCAACAAAAACTTTAAACATTAGCTGGGTGTGGTGGTGCGCACCTGTAGTCCTAGCTACTCCAGAGGCTGAGGTGAAGGATTGCATGAGCCAGGAATTTAAGGCTGCATTGAGCTATGATTGCACCACTGTACTTCAGCCTGGGCTCCAGAGTTGAGATCCTGTCTCTTTGGGAGGCGGAGGCTGGCAGATTGCCTGAGGTCAGGAGTTTGAGACCACTCTGGCCAACATGGTGAAACCCCTTCTCTACTAAAAATACAAAAAAATTAGCTGTGCGTGGTGTCATGTGCCTGTAATCCTAGCTACTCGGGAGGCTGAGGCAGGGGAATTGCTTGAACCAAGGAGGTGTGGAGGTCTCAGTGAGCCAAGATCACTCCACTGCACTCCATCCTGGGTGACAGAGCGAGACTCCATCTCCAAAAAAAAAAAAAAAAAAAAAAAAAAAAGATGTAAAAGAACATTAAGTGGAAAGGTGACCCATGAACCTAAATGGAAAGATTCCATAGTATACAATTATTAAATTATTCTTTTATAACTATAAATTCAATAACATGCCATTCAATATCTTAAAAGGATTTTTATGGAGCTTGACAACTTCAAATTCATTTGAAAAAGAAAGCATAAGAGAATAGCCAGGAATTTTTTGGGGAATGATGAACTATGAGGGGAACTTGTCCTGTTGGGAACCAAAATATTAAGGCTATAGTAATTAAAATAATTGTTAGAAATACCGAATGCATGCGGGGCTTAAAACCTAGATGACGGGTTAATTGGTGCAGCAAACCACCATGGCACATGTTTACCTATGTAACAAACCTGCACATTCGGCACATGTATCCCAGAACTTAAAGTAAAATAAAAAATAATAATTGTTATTGGCATAGGAAATAACTCACTAGTACAGAATGGAAAGTCCAGAATAAGGTATATAGATATAAATATATTGTATATAATATAAAGTTGGCATTTCAACCAGTAGAGAAAGAATGGACTATTCAATTAACAGTATTGGAACAATTTGCTATCCGTTTGGTAAAACATTATATTTTTACCTCAGACTACACACAAGTAAATTCCAGATGAATTTAAAGAGATAAATGTAAAAAATTCACCAATTATTTTTTAAATGCTGGGGTGGGGAAGGCTTTCCTAAACAAGACCTAAATTTATGACCAAAATTAAGACCCCAGTGATATACTGGAGAAAAACATGACTAACAAGCAGAATAGAAAAAAACACCTACAGATTAATTTTTAAAAGCACAAAACAGCAAAAGATATAAACAGGCAAGCCATCAAAGAAAAAAGAAATACAATAGACAATAGAACATGAAAACATACTCCACCTCATGAGTAATAAGAAAGTGCAATTGTATTGTTTTTGGCCATAAAGCCGCAAAGATTTAGAAGTCCTAACCTAGGTTTAAGGGAAAGGAAACGCTTTAAAAAAAAAAAAAGTTTTAATTACTTTCTTTTTCGCTAAATTTATTCCCATGCCATAAGTTTTTGTTTCTTCACTTTCTTCTGGGATATCTTTTGCTTCCAGGAAGCCTCCTTTTCTGGTTTTGGATTTGTTCCTTTTCAGTGAGAATCATCTCAAAGAGCTCATGTATGGCTTAATCTGACCATGAGCTCTAGTAAGTCCTGTGGTGCATCTTAGGTGCTTTGTTCACTTGGATATACTCAGTGACCAGAGAATCTACATCTAAGCTGTTAAGCTCAGCATTCCTCTCTGTATTTTTAAGCATGTGCAGCAAAAGTTCAGCACTGTTTTGGGGGCCACCAACCCTGTGTCCAGCCCCACTACTTGGCAGGGGCACACCTACCAAGTCCACCACTGTAACCTCGGAATGGAACACACTGCTTCTGTAAAGTGACATCTTTAGGGTTGGTGGCTTTTCATATATGCATACCCTTGATGGCCTGGCCAGTTTCACGAGTGTTCTTAGTGAACATGAAGATTTGAACCTCTTGATTTGCATGATTTTGTGGGGTTTCCTGGGTCAAGTGACTAGAGAACCATTTTCACAGATCACCCCAGGCCGCTTAGGGGAAGAGAGGAAATTTTTTAGTTGGAAGTATTAATTGGCAAAAACTATTTTCAAAGGTAATTCGGCAATGTCCAAACAAATTTAGGAATTATATACCCTTTGATTCAGTAATTTCACTTTTAGAAATCTTATGGAAATGCTCATACATATGTAAAAAAAATTATGTACAGGATCCTAGTCCTTTCTTATGGATGTGTGGTGAGGATAGAAAAATACACCAGTATTTTTAAGTGAAGATGGAAAAAATCTAAGTGTTTTCCAGAAAGGAAATGTTGGAGAAATCATGGCACACCCATACTAAGCAATACAATGCTGTCATTAAAAAGGATGAGGTTAAACCATATGTACTAACACAGGAATATCTCCAAGACATATTGTTAAAAAGCCTGTTGTCTGATCATTTATTATCTATCCCTAGCTATATATTAACGTGAATTATACAAGGGGCATGCTGTAGATGTCAATCCCCTTTATCATGCTTTCCTTACTGTAGATTCTGGAAAGCCAAAAACTGTTTTCCAGATCCCTTCAGAGCTGAGATTCCAAGCAAAACTAAAATTCCTCTAATTAGATGCACTCATGTGAGACTTAGATTCAGAACTGAATTACGCAGGGAGAGAAGCAGGGCCTGAGGTATCTACTGTGCAGGCTTGGATATTACCAGTGTGGTGTGGTTTTAGAGCTGGTGGTGATGGTGGATGGAGGCTTTCTGATGTGGTAGGTGACTTGTTGACCATAGAAGCAGCAGATGCACCTTGTGAGTTCATGTCTGTGGTATGGGATTAGGAGTCATTCCTAGAACTCAGCTTAGACTCCATTTTGTCAGCCTTTTCAGTGAGTGATTCCATGAGTGATCTATATTGCTCAAAAAATTCTTTTTGCTTAAACTAGCTAGAGGAGTTGTCTGAAAATAGTACAGACAACAGATCCTTAAGGAAATGACATCTTGAACTACTTATCTGACCTGGCTGGTTTCAAGGCAGTGAGGATCTAGTTACTGTTAGAGGAGGGGAGACAGAATTGTACCTGGCATGCATGGCTGGGACATGGGTTAGATTATCACCCATGATCACCTGCAATTAAATGTTATCCATATCAATAAACACAGTTTAAACTGTGTTTCTCCTTCCCTGGTCTAGAATCCTCAGAATCTTGCTGACACATATTCCTTAAGATTTTGCCAATACATTAGGAAATTCTTACAATTCTGTTAATATGTAAACTTTCTTTTCCAAGGTTTGACTTTGGAATTATAGAGAATTTGGTGTTTCACCTTGTCATAGGTCAGAAGAAATAAGAGGTGGTAGGAGTGGTAAATGAAGAGAATGGGGACTATTTTAGAAGATAACTACCTGAGGTGTGGTCATTACAAGATATTCAAGAAAATCAGAACCATTCTCATTAGATAGGGGAGGAGCTACTTCTGTTGGCAGATCTTTGGGTTTTGGGTACTTGGTCATTGTAATGTTCTCAGATATCACCATTCTACTTTTTGGGTTTGCATTCTTTCTTCCAAAATAATCTAATTGTTATTTAAGAAACCTGCTGAAGCAGTGAATTCAACTTATCTTGTGTATCAGTAACCTGCAGGATCAGACTCTTTTCTGGTTTTTCACTGTGTAACTCTATGACTACAGAGAGAAGAAATTATTTCAGGGCAGTCATGGAGCCAAACTCTGTTTCTTTGACCTAGCTAAACATGTCTGTTGTAAATGAATAAGAAGCATGCTTCAATATTCAAATTTTCTATTTCTTCTATTATCAGTTTTCATAAGTTATGTTTTTCTAGGAATTTGTCTATTTAATATACATTTTCAAATTTAATCACAAAAAATTTTTCATATCTTCTTACCGTTTAGTGTCTATAGGGTTTGTAGTGATGTCCTCCTTTTCAAGTCTGATGTTAATAATTTGTATTATGTTCACTATTGCTATTGGTTTATCAACTTTTAGTATTGTAAATAATCCATTTTTTCTTTGATGATTTTCTATATTGTATTTGTTGTATATGACATTAATTTCTACTCTGTTATTTCCTTCTGTCCACATTTTGGGGTTTAAATTGCTGGTCTTTTTCTAACTTTTCTTTTTGGGGGGGCGGGGACAGGGTCTCACTTTGTTACCCAGGCTGGAGTGCATGGCATGATCTTGGCTCACTGCAACCTCTGCCTCCTGGGTTAAAGCAGTTCTCCTGCCTCAGCCTCCCGAGTAGCTGGGATTACAGGCACATGCTACCACACCCAGCTCATTTTTGTATTTTTGGTAGAGATGGGGTTTCACCATGTTGGCCAGGCTGGTCTCGAACTCCTGACCTCAGGTGATTGACTCACCTTGGCCTCCCAAAGTGCTGGGATTACAAGCATCAGCCATTGTGCCTGGCCTCCTTGCTTCTTTTGAATTAATCAAGTATTATTCACTTTCTCCCCTTTTGGCTTTTTTCATACACAATCTCTAGCATTCCAGCAAAAATTTCTAAGCATACTAAGAAATAGCACCATGAGAAAGATAGACCTGTAATAAATTCACACATTGGACTTATGTCTCTTTTAGTAGTTCACCTAGAGATTACAACATGCATCCTTGATTTATTAGAGTGTAATAGTGATACTTTTATGCCTTCCAAAACAATGCTGAGATCTTAGAATACCTTAACTCTATTTGTCTCCTTCTAGCCTTTTGTCAGGCATTTTAATCTTCCAGACATTTTAAGCCCTATACAACATTATTATTACTGTTTTCTGTGGTAATATTCACTTAAATTTACCCATGTTGACCATTATTCCTTCTTGCATGTCTGTATTCCTATCTGGGATCGTTTTCATTCTGCCTAAGTTTAGCGTAACTTTATTATTATTATTATTGTTGTTTGAGACAGGGTCTTACTTTGTTGCCCAGGCTGGAGTGCAATGGTGTGATCTTGGCTCACTGCAACCTCCACTTCCCATGCTCAAGCAGTCCTCCCACCTCAGCTTCTGAAGTAGCTGGGACTACAGGTGAGCGCCACCACAACCAGGTAATTTTTGTATTTTTTATAGAGATTTTTTATAGAAATGGGGTTTTGCCCAGGCTGGTCTTGAACTCCCAGGCTCAAACAATCTGCTTACTTTGGCCCCCCAAAATTCTGGAATTAAAGGTGTGAGCCATCATGCTCAGCCAGTGTCTTCATCTTTTTAAAGAAAGTATTTTACTTACCATAAAATTCACCCATTTTAAGTGTACAATCCATTGGTTTTTAGGATATTCAAAATAGTGCAACCATCACCACAATCCTACTTTAAATCACTTCCACCACCCAAAAAGATCCTTTTTGCTCATTTGCAGTCACACTCTATTCTCATTCCCAATCCCAGGAAATGATTAAGGTACTGTATGTATGGATTTGCCTTTTCCTCTGAAAACCTCATATAAATGGAATTATATATGGCCTCATGTCCAACTTCTCTCATTTAGCATGTCTTAAAGGTTCATCTGTGTTGCCATATGTATTAGTTCATTCCCTTTTATCACAGAACAGAAATCCATTTTATGGTTATCCCACATTTTGTTTATTCATTCACCCACTGATGAATATTTGGATTGTTTCCACTTTGGGGCTGTTAAGAATGACACTGCTGCTGAACATCTGCATATAAGTCTCTGTAAGGACATGTTTTGTTTCTCCTGGATATATACCAAGGAGTAGTTTCAGGTTCATACACTTGTGTTTAACTTTGGCCATAATCTTTTTGGCTATTGCTCTCCCTCATCCTAGTCTGATTCCAATTACACATATGTTAGACTTTTGTACCATGCCTGATGCATCTTATACATTTTTATATATATGTTTAACTCTTTGTATTTTAGTGTGGATATTTCCCATTGACCTACCCTCACATTCACTAATCCTTCTTCAACTCTAATGTGTTAGTCTCATATATAAAATTCTCTTAAGTTCTAGAGTTCTCATTTAATTCTTTATAGATTCCAATTCCTTGATGATATATTCAATCTTGTTTTTTCTTACATTTACCAATCCTGCCTATTTCAAAGTTCATGTCCAACATAAGTCCAATGTGTGAATTTATTACAGGTCTATCTTTCTCATGGTGCTATTTCTTAGTATGCTTAGAAATCTTTGCTGGAATGCTAGAGATTGTGTATGAAAAACTATAGAAGCTGTGGATGAAATTATCCTCTTCCAGGGAGGATTCACCCTGTCCTCTGTCAAAGTAGAGCAGGGACACCTCAATCCAGTCAAAAACTGAGCTTACTCAAGGCTGGGCTTCAGATTCCTAAGGTTAGCTCTACTGGTTTATCTCAACTTTTGGGGTATAGCCTTTGAGGGGTCACAGTGGCAGAGCTTGGAGTGTTTTTAGAGACCTTCCTTTTTGAAATCAAGTTCAATTTTTGTTTTTGCTCTGCTGCTTTTCTCAGTTTTCTTACCTTGTACAACAAAAAATTGGTAAATGCCTAAGAAAATCAGCATCATCACATGGGGTTAATTCTCTGCACATCCCTTCTCCCAGGATCTTTGCCCTCAAGTCCTGGCTGCCTTAGAAGCACTTCAGTGCCTTCAAATAGATGTTGCATGCCTCCTGTTCAGCTTTTGCTTAAGCTATACTGTCACATCTAGAAATGGAAGTATGAAACAAGTTGTTTTTGAAACAAAATCTGGCTATTTGTTCTGACAGGATGTTTTAAAAGTACTTACTTTGAAAAGACCTCCCTTGGCTGGGCACGGTGGCTCATGCCTGTAATCCCAGCACTCTGGGAGGCGAGGCAGGCGATCACCTGAGGTCAGGAGTTTGAGACCAGCCTGGCCAACATGGTGAAGCCCCATCTCCACTAAAAATACAAAAATTAGCTGGGCATGGTGGCACATGCCTGTAATCCCAGCTACTCAGGAGGCTGAGACAGGAGAATCATTCGAACCCGGGAGGCGGAGGTTGCAGTGAGCCGAGACCATGCCATTGCACTCCAGCCTGGGCAACTCAACACTCAGTCTAAAAAAACAAAAACAAAAAACAAACAAAAACCTCCTCCACCTAAAAGAGTATGTAAGAGTATAGCATACATTTCATATACCACCTTTACTGAAAAGAGCTTCATAAGATGTAGTTTGGGTTGTCCTGAAAAATTGAGGCCTTTAAGTTCTACCTGTATAATGCTCATAGAATATAGTATCATAGAAGTTGATATTTCTACTTTATAAACAGTGGGTTTTGCAGAATCTGAATTCCCAGATATAATTAGCTGGCACCTGCCTACATCTGGGTAATTATTTTTTGAGACGGAGTTTCACTCCTGTTGCCCAGGCTGGAGTGCAATGGCATGGTCTTGGCTCACTGCAATCTCCGCCTCCCAGGTTCAACTGATCCTCCTGCGTCAGTCTCCCAAGTAGCTGGGATTAACAGGCACCCACCACCATGCCCAGCTAATTTTTGTATTTTTAGTTGAGGCGGGGTTTTACCATGTTGGCCAGGCTGGTCTTGGACTCCTGACCTCGGGTGACCTGCCCACCTTGGCCTCCCAAAGTGCTGGGATTACAGGCTTGAGCCACCGTGCCCAGCCATCTGGGTAAAATTGTTTAAAAGTTAGTATCGGGTTTTCACTTTGACAAATATGTTTGGCTCCATGGCATTTCCATGTGCTATGTAATGAAAACACCAGTCACCAACAAACTACCAGTGGTGAAAATGTTACCTGTCATTCCCCCACTTTCTATGGTAGACAGGCATTCTAAGCCACACATCTTTGGGCTCAGATCTACCCACACTTAGGTGCAAAATGTACCCACGGTGGGAAGTGATGTGGAACCCTTTCCTCAGTCAGTATGACACAATCGAGCCTCCTTTTACATTTATAATCTGGGCTTGGATTTTAATCCCCATCTTACCTAGTTCCCACAGCTTGACTACCCCTATTGCCTGTCTACTCAGATGTCTTACCCACTGCCTGCACTGTCTTTTAGCAGTAACTGCAGGTCCCGGCCAGCACTCTTCTGGTCCCAGGTGCTCAGATCTGCTCTAACCAGCTACTTCAGAGGCACATTCTTTTGGCTCAGAAAACACCCCATGCTTAGCATTCATCGCACTAGCACTTTCAAGTTGGAAACAGAGGTGTCAACCCATTTACCATTTGAAAATTTTGGTATTTATTAAATACAAATTCTTATTTTAGGCAGACCTATATGACTACATAAAGCAGTAGAAGTTATTTTTTATACGTAACTAGGTCTTTTCCTGAGAATGGAAAGTCCTGGGAAGATGCCTATTTTAGAGTTATTCTTTATAGAAGAAAACATCAAATTTCAGAGAGAATTAACTGACTTTAAATCTATTAGAGGTCTCCCTCTGTTACTAATTTTTAGTGATCTGGGCCTTATTTTAATACCTAAAAGCCAAATCAAAACAAAGAAACAGAATACTCTATCCTTTAATCTCTTTAATTCACACATCTGTCTTTTGTATAAAAAGGTGTTTTGGTGAACCCACGTTGCTACACCAATGACATTCCACAGTATTAACACTAGAATGACTGAAGTCACATTCATGAAATATACAGGAAATATCAATGGTTCATGAACTGATTACTCTTCTGGCAAGTTAGGGTTGGGTCTCATATTATCAAACTAATTACGATTTTTAATGCCTACTAAAACTCATACTTAATAGGAAGACAATCTATAATTAAAACTGTCCCTTGTTAGGTGGAGAGCAAAGACTTATTCACACTGAATCTCCCATGCCTTGTATAGCACTAGGCACAGAATGGCATTCAGTGTTTTGAGAATGAATGAATGGTCTGCCTCTTGTCTTTGATAACAGTGAATATCATGCTAGGAAAACAGGGGCATGTAACTTTTACTTATCAAACTCTACGAGTTGCACTGAGAATACTCAATCATGAGCATTAATTTGAGAACAGTTAGGAATGAAAGTGGAGTCTCTGGGGCACTTGCCTCTGTTCATGGCCTCCTGTGCAATTTTAGCCAAATAACAGCCTTTCCAGGCCTAGGTTTACCTATCTTTTAATATTACCGGATTTTACGCTTTAAAAATTCTATAAATTACTACCTATTTACAAATCTAGATTAACTGTGACAGATGGTATGTTTAAGGAATTACTTTTTAAAAATCCTTTTTATTACTCTTTTTTAAGAAATGCAACAAGAGCCTTACAAACCATCCATCTGAAGAGCAAGCACAAAGACCGGATATTTGTGGTGCCACCGCAGTTGCAGAAAGGAATGTCAGTCAGAAATGAATTGTGTTTCAGTCACTCTGCATGGTTGCTGCCACGCATGGAACATTTTTAGGCCAACTTTTTAAAATTCCCAGTTAAGGTAAGCAGGAAATTAGATGATCTTCATTAAGACTCCATGGGTGTATCTGAGCTCCTGCTGCCAAAAGGGCCACTAATAGATGAATTTCTTGCACTCCCAAGAACAAGCCTCTCTCGTCTTCCAAATGCTTCATTTACTAAAATACAAATAAACAGGTAAGAAACTAACAGATCAGGAAATTAAGTCAGAATATAAAAAGACACTAAAATGCAGAATTGTGCACTTAGTACTTTATAAATGGTAAAGTGAGTAACCAACTCAGAAGTCCAAGTTAATGTTCTGAATGAAGTGAATTATTTTTTTAAATGGTCCAATTTATTTTTGTACTTTACTTTCTTTGCCATGTCTTGGATTTATCTGATCCGCCTTGGTAACAAATGTCCCATTCCTTATAAGTGACCCTCTCCTGGCCTTATTCTACTTCTGATTGCTTCCTATTTTTTTCTTTCACTTTTCTCTGATCATAACCGGCACAGAACTTTTCGGACTTAGGACTCACACACATCAGAATAACCCAGAGAAAAATCTCAGGATCCTTGTTTTGCATGGGAGGGAGGATGCAGGAATCATACAGTGGGGAGATATATATATTATCTCTGTGTTTGTAGAACGCACCAGACTACCTCAAAGTAATAAATAAGCAGCCAGGATCCCCTGAAGGGAGAGGAGTGGCCCCTTCCGGAAAGTTGGATTTTGTAGAATTTTATAGTTGAGCAAACGGTGGATTTATTCACACTGGTAACTGTGGGGGAGAGGGCTGTTTGTTGAGACCATGCTATATTTCTTTCCAGCTTTCCCCAAAGATCTTTCAATTTTAAGATATGTATTTGTTAAATTGCTGGGAACAAGCCCCCCAAAATCTGGCCATAAACAAAATCTCTTCAGCACCGTAACATGTTCATAATGGCCCTAACGCCCAAGCTGGAAGGTTGTGGGTTTACGAATGAGGGCAAGGAACGCCTGGCCTGCCCAAGGTGGAAAACTGCTTAAAGGCATTCTTAAGCCACAAACAATAGCATGAGCGATCTCGATCTGTGTCTTAAGGGCATGTTCCTGCTGCAGTTAACTAGCCTAACCCATTCCTTTAATCCGGCCTATCCCTCGTTTCCCATAAGGGATACTTTTAGTTAATTTAATACCTATAGAAACAATGCTAAAGACTAGTTTGGTGTTAATAAATATGTGGGTAAATCTCTGTTCGGGGCTGTCTGCTCTGAAGGCTGTGAGACCCCTGATTTCCCACTTCACATCTCTATATTTCTGTGTGTGTGTCTTTAATTCCTCTAGCGCCACTGGGTTAGGGTCTCCCCAACCGAGCTGGTCTCGGCCTTAAATGATCTACACTTAAAAGTGTGAAGACAAACTTATTTGTGAACATGAACAAACATTACCAATTACATCTGATCTTGTCTCTTTCCTAAAAAGACTACACTACTTTTGCTATCTTCCTGATGTAGTCAGGACACACATTCTGCACTTGGTCTTAGCCAAAATGCTGAGAAACAATTCAAGTCACACATTCTGTGTCAGTCCTTACAGAACTCATTCAGAAAGAGGAGAGGCCAGCATGATGGCTCACACCTGTAATCCCAGCTATACAGAAGGCTGAGGACCAAGGATTGCTTGAGGCCAGGAGTTTGAGACCAGCCTGGGCAACATGGTGAGACCCTGTCTTTTTTTTTTTTTTTTTTTTTACAGGGGCAGGGGGAGGTGTGCAGAGAACTAAAAATCCTTACCTGAAGAGACTGTGCTTATATCCCAGACCCGAAGCCCTTCTTTTTGACCTCCAAAGGCATAAATAAATGGCAAATCAGGGCAACATGAAGAACAGAAGAGAACTCCCTAGAGAGAGAACAGGAAGATGGTGATTTCAATCTCTTCAGAAAGCGCTAATATCTAGATCCTCACTGTTGTCTCTAAGAATCTATGATTTAAATGGTTATTCAAAACCAACTTATGATTCTCACTTTCAAGCCTACTGCAAAGGTAGCTCAGAGTCAAGTCAGAAGGGCTAGTACTACAATATGAAGCCAGACAAGCGCAGCATGCTGGTTCTTCCACAATGATATCTGCAACTTCTGACCACTCAGGCCACTCATCTTCGTTATCACTCTGTCTCTTAGGGATTTCCTAACAAACCTAATGTGCCATGTATTTCCAGAAACTTTAGCTGTCCTTTTAAACAATAACAATGATGCCAGTTTAAATCATTTTTAAACTTTGTTTTCTTTTTTACATTTTTATTAATAGGTAATATATATTTGTTATAGAAAATATGAACAAGAAAAATATATGAAAATCTCTCAGGGAGGTAACCACGGTTTATGTTCTGGGATATAATCTACTAGAGTTAAATGTAAGCATTTAGGCAATTATGCACTTAAAAATAAGCATGAGATGGTACTACAAAAATTGCTTCTGTAACCTGTTTTTCCATTATATTTATATATATTTATTCATACACAATTTTCAACAGCTGTGCAGTGTTACTGTGTCTGCAGTCTAACTTATATAACTCAGTGGTTGGCATACAGTAGGTGCTCAGTAAATATTTCTTGAGTGAATCTGGTTATTTCTAAATTTTTCCTACTATATAGTAATTTGTTTCAGTGTAGTCAGAACTAGTTATGCAAAGAGATAAAGATACATAAACTGACCCTAATAGCTACGGTGCCCTGAGGTTCAAGATTTCTTGGGATGGTCTTGATTTCAGGGTTTTAAAAAAAAAAAAAAAAAGCAGCCATTTCACTTGTGTCCTAGAAAACCCTCTCCCCAGCCTTACCAAGCAACTGTTAATCATGTGAGTTGGAAAAGAACCAGTCACTGAATTCCCCACAAAGCGTTCTAAGTCATAAAATCCCACCAAATTTGACTAAACTCAAAATTCACTTCCCCAACACATCCATATTTGTTAATGCAATAGTTCCAACAGAAAAACACGCAACACAAGTTCCAGAAAAAGACAAGGTCAGAAACAGAATAAATAAAAAACAGATACCCAGGGAGATTCTTACCATTTTCATGTCCCTAGAATGAACTAGACTTGGCCTATCTCCTAAGATGTCCCAGATCTTCACGTATTTGTCAGCTGAAGCAGTCACGAGACAGCCCTTGATTTGACTGCTAAGATCAAGACCTAAAGGAAGATAAGTTTAGACACTTTCGCTTTGAAATACAGATTTACTTCATCATAAGTTAAGAAAAATGAAAGAAGCATTACTCTTGCTCACCAGAGATTTCATCATTGTGTGCATTAAGTGTAAAAATTGGCTTATCTGAACGTGCATCCAAATTATATACAAAGCCGTCATCTGTACTGGCCTAGAAAGAGTAAAAGATGGGCAAGGTCATGCTACGTCACAAAATCTAACAATGGGTAAAAAGTCTAAGTCATAGTGAAAATCAGCTATATGACTTACTGGTGGAACTTATGAAAAATTAACATGGACAGAAATCATTTACTTTTGGACGACCTGAGTTTGCACTCACATGGGCTAATTCAGTTGACATGTCTACTGGATATGAGTATGAAGCTGTGGTGAATGGTCTGGAATGGGGCTAGAGCAGTAGAAGAAAAGAGGCCATAGTTACATCCACGTGAACACAGGCCTGGTGAGCATGGCTACTCAAGTTGCAGGCTGAGGAAGCATCCACAGAAGTGAGTCAGAGAGGGAAGAAGGGATAGGGAAGAGTGTCAAGGAACCAAGGCGTGACCAACAGTCAAATCGACCAGTGTGGCAGAGAAATTCAATCAGATAAGGAACTTAGGAATGAAAGGCAGATTAGAGTGCATTGTTACACTGTCAAGAAAGAAAGAAGAAATGAAGGAATTAAGAGACAGATACAGAGCCAAAAATGGGAGACAGAAACCTGAGCCTGTATACAGGCCAAGGGCAACAGCCAGTACAAGAAAAAAGGATAAAGAAAGGACGGCTGAGGCAGTCTGACTGCTAGGCCAGGGAAGAGAAGGCTTGGCTCTTCTTTTGAGATGAGAGGGAAGCAGGTGAACCATTTCATCTACTTTAACCTCTCACTTCCCTAAATATTTGGGATTCTAATATATATGACCATTTGTTAGCAAATAATCTCTGGAAGTTGCGTACCTGAAGAGTGAGAGCCGAAGTACAACACAACATTCAAGTACAACTGGAATGATCATTGTAAAAATAAGTCAGGCTTCAGGCTGCCTGGCTAGAACAGCATGCACCTCTACTAATCGTGCAGAATTGAGATTAAGTATCTCAGAATCATTACTTCATGAATCTTACTAAAATTGTCCACATCTTTTGAGAAAGCTGTTTTTAAAAAACTCTTTCCCCCCTAACTCATTTTATGAGGCCAGCATCACCCTGATACCAAAGCCCGGCAGAGACACAACGAAAAAACAGAATTTTAGACCAATATCCCTGAAGAACATCGATGCAAAAATCCTCAATAAAATACTGGCAAACCGAATCCAGCAGCACATCAAAAAGCTTATCCACCATGATCAAGTGGGCTTCATCCCTGGGATGCAAGGCTGGTTCAACATACATACACACATCAATAAACGTAATCCAGCATATAAACAGAACCAAAGACAAAAACCACATGATTATCTCAATAGATGCAGAAAAGGCCTTTGACAAAATTCAACAGCCCTTCATGCTAAAACTCTCAATAAATTCGGTATTGATGAGACATATCTCAAAATAATAAGAGCTATTTATGACAAACCCACAGCCAATATCATACTGAATGGGCAAAAACTGGAAGCACTCCCTTTGAAAACTGGCACAAGACAGGGATGCCCTCTCTCACCACTCCTATTCAACACAGTGTTGGAAGTTCTGGCCAGGGCAATCAGGCAGGAGAAAGAAATAAAGGGTATTCAATTAGGAAAAGAGGAAGTCAAATTGTCCCTGTTTGCAGATGACATGATTGTATATCTAGAAAACCCCATTGTCTCAGCCCAAAATCTCCTTAAGCTGATAAGCAACTTCAGCAAAGTCTCAGGATACAAAATCAATGTGCAAAAATCACAAGCATTCTTATACACCAATAATAGACAAACAGCCAAATCATGAGTGAACTCCCATTCACAATTGCTTCAAAGAGAATAAAATACCTAGGAATCCAACTTACAAGGAATGTGAAGGACCTCTTCAAGGAGAACTACAAACCACTGCTCAACGAAATAAAAGAGGACACAAACAAATGGAAGAACATTCCATGCTCATGGATAGGAAGAATCAATATTGTGAAAATAGCCATACTGCCCAAGGTAATTTGTAGATTCAATGCCATCCCCATCAAGCTACCAATGACTTTCTTCACAGAATTGGAAACAACTACTTTAAAGTTCATATAGAACCAAAAAAGAGCCCACATTGCCAAGACAATCCTAAGCCAAAAGAACAAAGGTGGAGGCATCATGCTACCTGACTTCAAACTATACTACAAGGCTACAGTAACCAAAACAGCATGGTACTGGTACCAAAACAGAGATGTAGACCAATAGAACAGAACAGAGCCCTCAGAAATAATACCACACATCTACAATCATCTGATCTTTGACAAACCTGACAAAAACAAGAAATGGGGAAAGGATTCCCTATTTAATAAATGGTGCTGGGAAAACTGGCTAGCCATATGTAGAAAGCTGAAACTGGATCCCTTCCTCACAGCTTATACAAAAATTAATTCCAGATGGATTAAAGACTTAAATTAAATGTTAGACCTAAAACCATAAAAACCCTAGAAGAAAACCTAGGCAATACCATTCAGGACATAGGCATGGACAAGGACTTCATGTCTAAAACACCAAAAGCAATGGCAACAAAAGTCAAAATTGATAAATGGGATCTAATTAAACTAAAGAGCTTCTGCACAGCAAAAGAAACTACCATCAGAGTGAACAGGCAACCTACAGAATAGGAGAAAATTTTTGCAATCTACTCATCTGACAAAGGGCTAATATCCAGAATCTACAATGAACTCAAACAAATTTACAAGAAAAAAACAGCCCCATCAAAAAGTGGGCGAAGGATATGAATAGACACTTCTCAAAAGAAGACATTTATGCAGCCAACAGACACATGAAAAAATGCTCATCATCACTGGCCATCAGAGAAATGCAAATCAAAACCACAATGAGATACCATCTTACACCAGTTAGAATGGCGATCATTAAAAAGTCAGGAAACAACAGGTGCTGGAGAGATGTGGAGAAATAGGAACAGTTTTACACTGTTGGTGGGACTGTAAACTAGTTCAACCATTGTGGAAGACAGTATGGCAATTCCTCAAGGATCTAGAACTAAAAATACCATTTGACCCAGCCATCCCATTACTGGGTATATACCCAAAGGATTATAAATCATGCTGCTATAAAGACACATGCACACGTATGTGCATATGTGCACATACATATAGTGCATATTGTGGCACTATTCACGATAGAAAAGACTTGGAACCAACCCAGATGTCCATCAATGATAGACTGGATTAAGAAAATGTGGCACATATACACCATGGAATACTATGCAGCCATAAAAAAGAATGAGTTCATGTCCTTTGTAGGGACATGGATGAAGCTGGAAACCATCATTCTCAGAAAACTATCTATCGCAAGGACAGAAAACCAAACGTTGCATGTTCTCACTCATAGGTGGGAATTGAACAATGAGAACACTTGGACACAGGAAGGGGAACATCACACACTGGGGCCTGTCGTGGGGTGGGGGGAGGGGGAGGGATAGCATTAGGAGATATACCTAATGTAAATGACAAGTTAATGGGTGCAGCACACCAACATCGCACATGTATACATATGTAACAAACCTGGACGTTGTGCACATGTATCCTAGAACTTAAATTTAAAAAAAAAAAAAAACTCTTTCTCACCTTTGCAAAGCACTACATATTTACTTCAGGAAAACTGGGCAACAAATTTAACTAATCTTTGCTCTGGATGAAAGCTGGGCTTTTCTTTTTACATGTACTGAAATGTCAGTGGAATCTTTGGATGCTATGTGGAAAATCATTGTCCTCCTTAGATAATAAGGGTATTTAGACAGAGGTCTTATACTTTTTTTCCTATTTGGGAGATAGTGCTACAAATTAACAGGTTAGCATTCTCATCACTAGAGATCCATTTAAGCATGAGGATTTAAAGAAAAGAATATCATCTTGGACTGATTTAGCCATTAAAAAAAACAAAAAATACTAACTATGCTTAGTATTTCAAACAACACTACAATAAAATGATCAAAATCATTAAATAAAACGTGGCACACTTTGGAATGGCCGGCAACCAGCAAAATCATTTACATGTTCACTGCTTTTTAAGTAAGAGCCGTTCTCTTATTTAAAAAAAAACACCTTATGCTTTCAACCCTAAACCCAAATACTTCATACTGTTAAAACAGAAAAAGCTTTTCAGATAATTCTCTCTACTATGGAATTTAAAAAGTCATTAGCAACCTAGAAAAGCAAAACAACAACATTCGTACTCTTACCAAGAAATGACAAGGTGAAAAGTGATTCCAAGTCACTCTCTCTATCTGCCCACTGAATCGCCACATTCGATGGCTTTCATCTGGACTTCGGCAGTCATACAAAGCCACTGACCTAGACACATTCAGGCAAAGTTAGGGTTTTAAGAGTTCAATTCTCCTATATGTTTTATTTATAATGAAATAGTAATAAAATAGCACTGTGAAATCAAGATTCATTTAAAGCCTGTTTTAAGGTTCTAAATAAAGTAGAAAAAAAATGAGCTGAGTTTCAGTAATTGGTGGATTCTGATCTTAACACTTGAAGGCACTGGTGCCTCTAACGTTACAGTGGTTTTGACCTTCTCCAGGTCAAATCTTCCACTCGCAAGAAGAATCCTCTCTATGTCCAAAAGCCCAGGACAATTTCTAATTTCCCCTTCTCTGGCCGAGCTCAGAGCCAGGTTACTCATGTCTTAGGCACACTTACTCTCCATAAGCAGTTTATCATGTTAGGGGAAGCAAGGGATGCACTTTTGTAATTCTGCGTGAATCACAAGAAATGTAAACATATCATGCTTCAAGAGGATAAGAAATGAAAATAAAGACTGCAAAGTTGGTTTTGGCTTCTACTATCTGTTTCTCCTACCTGTAGACCCAATCTGTAAAAAGGAGCACTGATATGAGCTATAAACCCCGTGGTTGACCACAGTGGCCCCAGTTCTTCATGTCTCCCTATATCCATGCCCTCTGTCATGTGACATGGAAATTCTTCCCATAAAGGCAAAGTACAGCCTCTAAAAGCCAAAGAAGTTGCTAGTTCCTACAGTTATATTATTATGACAGAATCATGTTCCGTTGTAGACTGAAAGGACCAGAGTTAAAAGGAAAAATAAGTAGTGCAAATAATTTAAACATAAAGGTGGCCTCAAGGATACATTCTGCCTGGGTACCAAGTGATACTCTTAAAATGACTTCTAGAGGATAAAAACAGAGTAGCAATCATTCTTGCTGTGCTTTCTTACTTATCATATGAGCCAGAAATCAGAGTCTGTGCTTCAAATGGATGAAACTGCAGTGTTTGGACCTAAAGGGAGGAAACATAAATGCAGAGATCTCTGTTGGTTTGCTTTTCGTAAAATTACCTAA
Organism: Homo sapiens; assembly: GCF_000001405.40. NCBI lineage: Eukaryota > Metazoa > Chordata > Mammalia > Primates > Hominidae > Homo > Homo sapiens. Next base: position 107,703,622 of record NC_000012.12, on the reverse strand, counting down.
CATGTGGTAAGAATCTATTTGACAGTATTTCTATAAATGCGTCCCTCTGAAATACAGTAAACAAAAGAAACATAAATGTACTGCATAATCAAAGGGCAAACCATGCTCCCACATAAAGGCTGGCACTTAAAGAAAATGTAGTTTCCCCAAACTGTTTGGCAGAATACTTAGTCCCTCAAATGTTAGAAGATACTCAGAAGAAAAAGGGAAGTAGTCAAACCCATCTGGTGAATTCCCCATGCTCCAGAAGTCCCAAAATAATCTGCATTAGATTCCTGGGGAATAACACAGTAATGGGTGTTACCATTGTGACTGACAGACCTCATCCTTTTTTAGGAGCCTCTATAAATATGTTACAGGGCACTAATGTTCCTAGTAACCGTACCTTTCTGTACCCATTTTTTCATCTCTAAGATGGGCATTATACCTACCACACAGGGCTTTGTGAAAATCCTAAGAGATAACATGTGAAAGCATGCCGCAAGCCAGATAAAATTATTTTCAAAGCCATATATAAACGTTTGGGATTATTTTTAGCCAATATTTGTGTCCGATTTTTAAGAACCGCTGTGATCAACTAAATCACCATACCTTGTCTGTGTGTACAGCGAGGCTAGCTGCTGGTTTCCCCAAGGACATATCCCACAGAATTACAGTGTTGTCAGCTGATGCACTTGCTAAAACATTTCTGAGAAAGGGAAGAATCCAATCAGGTAATCTTTTAAAAGTCAAGAGCATTAAATATGAGAAAAGGATTGCATTTACAATAGCATCAGAAAGAATAAAATACTTAGGAATAAATTTAACAAAAGAAATGTAAGACTTACATAATGAAAACTACCGAAGATTATGAAAGGAAACAAGAGTATCTAAATAAGTGGAAAGAAACCCCATGTTCATGTATTAGAAGACTTAATAGTGTTAATATGGAAATATTACATCTACAGATGGAGCTATAAACTGATCTACAGATTCAACCAATCTCTTTCAAAATCTCTGATGACTTTTTTCTTTCTTTTTACAGAAAGTGACAAGCTGATTCACAGCCAGGCACAGTGGCTCACACCTGTAATCCCAGCACTTTGGGAGGCTGAGGCACGTGGATCACTTGAGGTCAGGAGTTCAAGACCAGCCTGGCCAACATGGTGAAACCCCTTCTCTATAAATACAAAAAATTAGCTGGGCATGGTGGCGCATGCCTGTAATCCCAGTTACTCAGGAGGCTGAGGCACGAGAATAGCTTGAACCCAAAAAGCGGAGGTTGCAGAGAACCAAGATCACGTCACTGGACTCCAGCCTGAGCAACAGAGTGAGACTCTGTCTCAAAACAAAACAAAACAGGATGTACTACTATTATTAGTATTAGACTTAAAAAAAAAGTGACAAGCTGATTCTAAAAATGCAAGGAACCTAGAATAGCCAAAATAGTACTGAAAAAAAGAACAAAGTTGGCAAGTTCATATTTCCTGGCATCAAAACTTACTGAAAATCTACAGCAATCACAACAATGTGCTACTGGCATAAGGACATACAGATTAATGGACTACAACTAACAGTCCAGAAATAAACATTTATAGTCACTGGTTTTTGACAAGGGTACTAAGGTAATTAAATGTTCAATGGGGAAAAAAGTCTTAACAAATGGGGCTGGGCGCGGTGGCTCATGCCTATAATCCCAGCACTTTGCAAGGCAGAGGCAGGCAGATCACTTGAGGTCCGGAGTTTGAGACAAGCCTGGCCTACATGGTGAAACCCTGTCTCTATTAAAAATACAAAAATTAGCCAGGCATGGTGGCATGCACCAGTAATCCCAGCTACTCAGGAGGCTGAGGCAGGAGAATCACTTGAACCCCAGAGGTGGGGGGTGCAGTGAGCTGAGATCACACCACTCACTCTAGCCTGGGTGACAGAGTAAGACCCTGTCTCACACAAAACAAAAACAAATGGTTCAGGGACAAATGAATCATCCTCATGAAAAAGAATGAAGTTGGACCCCTACCTCACACCATACACACAAAAAAAACTCAAAATGGATCATAGACTTCAATGTAAGAGCTAATACTATAAAACTCAGAAGAAAACATACATGTAAACCTTCATGACCCTGACTTAAGCGATGGTTTGCTAGATACAACATCAAAAGCATGAACAACAAAAGAAATAAAGTAGACACCATCACATGAAAAACCTGTGCTGCAAATGATAGCACCAAGAAAGTGAAAAAACAACCCACAGAATAGAAGAAAATATTTGCAAATCATGTATTTGGTAGTAGGAGTTAGTTTTAACTCCAAAAATTCAACATCAAACACAAAAAACAGGCAAAGGGAGGCCAGGCTTGGTGGCTCATGCCTGTTATCCCAGCACTTTGGGAGGCTGAGGTGGGAGGATCACCTGAGCCCCAGAAGGTCAAGACTACAGTGAGCAGTGATTGTGCCACTGCACTCCAGCCTGGGTGACAGAGTGAGACCCTGTCTCAAAAAAAAGTAAGCAAAGGACTTGAAAAACATTTCTCCCAAAGAAGATACACAAATGGCCAATAAGCACAAAACAAAGATGCTCAACATCACTAATCGTTAAGAAATGCAGATTAAGCCAGGTGTGGTGGCAAGCCCCTGTACTCCAAGTGACTTGGGAAGCTGAGGCGGGGGGATTGCTTGAGCCCAAGAATTTGAGACCAGCTTTAGCAACATAGACCCCCATCTTACCTTAAAAAAAGGGGGGGAAATGCAAATTAAAACCGCAATGATATACCACTTCATACCCATTAGGATGGCTATTATGAAAAACAGAAAATAACAAATTTTGGAGACACTAGAGCCCTTGTGTGCATTGTTGGTGAAAATGTAAAATGGTGCAGCCATTATGGAAAATAGTATGGTGGCTCCTCAAAAAATTAAAAATAGAATTACCATAAGATTCAGTAATAACGCTTCTGGGTACATACTCAAAACAACTGAAAGCAGGGACTTGAATATTTGTACACCCACATTCATAGCAGCATTATTCACAGTATCCAAAAGGCAGAAGAAGCAATCCAGGTGACCACACGTAAATGAACGGGTAACATACATTACATACAATGGAATATTATTTAGCCTTAAAAAGGAAGAAACTCTGACACTTATTGGAACATGACTGAACCTGAAGACATTAAGTCAAATAAGCCAGTTGCAAAGAAGTAAGTCTGTATGATTCCATTCATATGAGATGCTTAGTCAAATTCATGGAGACAGAAAGTGGAGTGGTGGTTGCCAGGGCTGGGGGTGGGGGAAATGGGGAGTCAGTGTTTAAAGGGCAGAGCTGCAGTACGGAGATGAAAATGTTCTGGAGATGCATTGTGGTGATGGTTGCACAACTCTGTGAATGTACTGAAAGCCACTGAACTGCACACTTAAAAATGGTAAAAATGGTGATAGGATTTGGCTATGTCCCCACCCAAATCTCATCTTGAATTGTAGCTCCCATAATTCCCATGTGTTGTGGGAAGGACCAGGTGGAAGGTAATGGAATCATGGGGACAGGTCTTTCCTGTGCTGTTCTCATGATAGTGAATGGGTCTCACAAGATCTGACGGTTTTATAAAGGAGAGTTCCTCTGCACATGCCCTTTCTCCTGCCTGCCACTATATAAGACATGACTTTGCTCCTCATTTGCTTTCTGCCATAACTGTGAGGCCTCCCCAGCCATACAGAACTGTGAATCAATTAAACCTCTTTCCTTTACATATTACCCAGCCTCGAGTATGTCTACATTAGCAGCATGAAGACAGACTAATACAAGTGTTAACTTTTATGTTATATGTATTTTGCCATAATTTAAAGAAAAAAGAATAAAAGAGTATGTGGTGAGATGTGAAAACTAAACAGAGAAAAATGTCTCCTGGGAAGAAACACAATCCTACTGCACCATGGGCACTGCCAAACACCCTGTTTTTTTCCAGTGGTGGTGGAGAGAGGGCACTTGGTCACCAAACATGCAATGAGCACCCACAGTGATGAGCTGGCAGGTGACCTGGAGGATGCAAAGAAACAGATGACAGAGCTCCTGCCTGCAAGCAGGGCATCCTACAAGAAAGGAAGATAGACACAAAGGTCCACAGCACAAATAAAGAGATGAGTGTAGGCATGAGGTAAGATCACAATGGCTACAGTCTTTTACAATCATTCAAATGTTATTTCTTTTTACCTGATTAGCTTATTCCATGAAAGGTCAAGGACAGCATCGGTATGCCCTTCTGCTGAGGAACTCTGTAATAATTGTTTTAATTATTTTTTGTATTAAAGTCCCCCTCATAATAAAACTGAATATATTAATCTGCAAAATTCTTTAAACCTTAAGATTATTTTGTTTTGTTTTGTTTTGAGACGGAGTCTTTGTCTGTTGCCCTGGCTAGAGTGCAGTTGCACGATCTCAGCTCACTGCAACCTCCACCTCCTGGATTCAAGCGATTCTCCTGCCTCAGCCTCTCAAGTAGCTGGGATTACACGCGCATGCCACCATGCCCAGCTAATTTTTATATTTTTTGTGGAGACAGGGTTTTGCCACGTTGGCCAGGGTGGTCAGGAACTCCTGACCTCATGATCCACTCTCGGCCTCCCAAAGTGTTGGGATTACAGGTGTGAGCTACTGCACCCGACCTATTGTTTTGATATTATATAAACTTTTGAAGAATAAAATAAATAAAACCTTGTCTCCCTGTTAGAGACTCATGATTAATTTCATTACAGGGGCTGGGTGCAGCGGCCCACACTGTAATCCCAGGACCTTGGGAAGCTAACGTGGGAACATCGCTTGAGGCCGGGAGTTCGAGACCAGCCCAGGCAACATAGCGAAACTCTGTCTTTACAAAAAAGTCAAAACTTAGCCAGGCATGGCAGCATACGCCTATAGTCCCAGCTACTCAGGAAGCTGAGGCAGGAGAATCCCAGGATCTCTTGAGCCTAGGCGTTTCAGGCTGCAGTGAACTATAATCGTGCCACTGCACTCCAGTCTTGGGAGACAGAGCAAGACCTTACCTCTTTAAAAAAGAAAAATAAAGAAAAAAATTTCATTACAAGGAACAGGGAAGAAACTATAGTAGTTTATTTTTTTAGAGACAAAATCTCGCTCTGTCACCCAGGTTGGAGTGCAGTGGCACACAATCATGGCTCACTGCAACCTCAACCTCCTGGGCTCAAGCACTCCTCCCACCTTGGCCTCCCAAAGTGCTAGGACTATAGGCGTGAGCTACTATGACTGGCCTAGCAGTTCTTTTTTTTCCCTTGAGACAGAGTCTCGCTCTGTCACACAGGCTGGAGTGCAGTGGTGTGAGCTCACTGCAACCTCTGCCTCCCAGGTTCAAGTGATTCTCCTGCCTCAGCCTCCCAAGTAGCTGGGATTACAGGAACACACCAACATGCCTGGCTAATTTTTGTATATTTAGTAGAGACAGGGTTTCACCATGTTGGCCAGGCTGGTCTCGAACTCCTGACCTCAGGTGATCCACCCGCCTCAGCCTCCTAAACTGCTGGGATTACAGGAGTGAGCCACGTGCGTGGCCTGGCCTAGCAGTTCTTAATCTAGGTACTGTAATTATACAAGTATCAATATAGCTCCCAACCCTCATAAAACCTAACGATTTTAAAAGCTGCAGGAGTTAATACATGGATAATTAGAATTCAACATGATAACAGAAATTTTTTTAAAGTTCAAGGTTGGTATATCTGTATAAATAGCTACTGTATTTGGAGGAGGCTCATAATCCGAAAGTCCTTCATCTATAGTAGCTATTCATATTAATATACTAGCTTTGAACTAGTTTTGTGTAAGAAAGAACAACATGATAATGGAGGTTTTATGTAATCAGAAATAAGTTTTCTTTGGATGGCCTTTTCAAAACTAAAAATTACAATAATTTCATAACTACCTACCCCATCTCACCAAGAATACCTGATTGAAAAAGTGTACGGTCTTACCCTTCACCCCTACTCCCGAGTAAACTTACCTCTGTCATTAGAGTTTAAATATTTATTAACTTCTTTACCTTCTTTCCTTTCTTTTTCTTCTTTTTTGAAAGTTTACTTCCGAGTGTGAAGACTGGCTCTAAAGAGTCCACTATATCAAGGTCCCACACTTCAATAACAGGGGTCATGTTTCCTACAGCAATGTAATTTCCTATGGGAGGAAACAATGCATGTATGATTACACAAAAAAAGACATACAGAACTTCTAATCAAATACATTATACTGTAGATTAACTGAAAAATGCTTTAGAGCAGTGCTTCTCAAACTTATATGCATATGCGGCATCTGAATGTTACAAATGCAGATTGTATTTCAGGTGGTTCTGGGTGGGCATTTCTAACTAGGTCACAGGTGATAACCATGCTGTGCTGCTGCTGGTCTTTGGGCCACAATTTGAGTAGGAAAGGCTCAATCTCTTGGCCCCAGTGTTTTCATTTATATAACGAGAATAACCCTCCTCCCGTCCTCCTTCATGGGGTGCTGTGGGGATGAAGATCAGATCAGATCATGAATGTGAACAAGGTGTGCAAACAAGACGTAAGACAGTATAAACAGTGTTTACCTTTATTAAAAAGTACGGACAGGGGCAACTAATAGTGTGCAGATGTGGTTACAAAGACTAACATGAAAACCTAATTACTTGTGACAAGCCTCTTCATTTCGGTTTTAGCTTATGTTTTCTAAAACAGGTTATGCCACTGAACTCTAGCTGGTAACATCTCACATATCAGGCCATTTATACTGAGTCTTTATGGGACCTTTACAGTTCTACAGTCCAAAAGGCTTCAGGCCCTGTCCTTCAGCCTGTAGTAGAGCAGCTACCTCCTTAGCCTACCTGAAGTCTGGGGATTTATGAACCCCAAACAATAAAGTGATGGTGTGTTAAGAACTCTATAACTTCATAAAATAACAGTAACTTCAGAAAATATCAGCAACAATTCTGAAAACATTCAAGAGAATACATAATTTATGGAGCTAGGAGAAAATACATAAGACTGGAAATCATTGAACAACCTTAAGTTTTCTAATTACCAGTAGAATCATCTGGGCTAGGATCAAAATTCAGCCATTCCACACTCAGAGGATATGCAGACAAGAGTATATCATGGTGTACATAAAAAGAGTCTTCTTCTTGATTATAAACTGAAAAGATTGGGAAAAGAGACTTTAATGTATCAGAATGAGTCATCAAAAATCACATCCCGCTCAAAAAAACAAATTCTATTAAATGTACGTGAGCCATGTGCTTTAAAGTGAGACATCTGATATTATAAAGAGATTCCAGGCTGGGCGCAGTGGCTCGTGCCTGTAATCCCAATACTTTGGGAGGCCAAGGTGGGCGGATCACTTGAGGTCAGGAGTTCGAGACCAGCCTGGCCAACACAATGAAACCTCGTCTCTACTCAAAATACAAAAATTAGCTGGGTGTGGTGGTACGTGCCTGTAGTCCCAGCTACTAGGGAGGCTGAGGCAGGAGAATAGCTTGAACCTGGGAGGTGGAGGTTGCAGTGAGCTGAGATCGCACCACTGCACTCCAGCCTGGGCGACATAGTGAGACTCTATCTCAAAAAAAAAAAAAAAAAAAAAGATTCCAATATCATGACTAGGCAAAAATTCTGCATGTCTAATACAGTGCCATCTTGTGGCATACCCCACAGGAGAAAATGAACACTGACATCTGATAGTCCACCTGCATCCTTGTCAGATAAATGGTCCTGTCTTCTAGGTCATTCATAGAAAACAAATGTTCATAAGTTCATAATGTTCATAACTACAAGAAGTAGTTATTATTTTATCTTTTAATGGTCTAGCTGATTATAAGTCAAAAAGAACAAACCAAAAATAGCATGGGAGAGAAATAATTCATATTTGGAAATCTAAATGCTTATCAAAAATTACTCTTAATATTTTTAAAAAAGGTTTATGAAGATGAACAATGTAAACAAAGCTCCTGAGGACATACTTTTGGAATATGGCAACAGCTCCTTAATATTCACAGCTGTAATGTTAAGCAGCAAAAACATTGTAAAATCAATGAGTAAGAAGTCTTTTAAAAATTACACAGTGAAACACTGATAAAACAGAACCCACTAGTCAGAACCCCTCCCCATATGCTTTGTATTAAGAAGGAGGTAAATATATAATAAATTAAGGATTTTATTTTTAATTCCTCAGATTGCTGCTTCTGGAATAGATCCTGGGATTAGCAGATTTGTGTAATGCTCTATCACATCCCTGTGATGAGAATTCATGTTCAAAATTATTAGACTGTGGTTCTACAAAAACCTCAACCATGTTCGATATACTCAGCTTACATTTTACATAAAATTGGTAATAACTTTTTTTTTTTTGAGATGGAGTCTTGCTCTGTCGCCCAGGCTGGAGTGCAGTGACACGATCTCAGCCCACTGCAAGCCCTGCCTCCCAGGTTCACGCCATTCTCCTGCCTCAGCCTCCCGAGTAGCTGGGACTACAGGCGCCCGCCACCACGCCTGGCTGATTTTTTTTTTTTTTTTTGTATTTTTAGTAGAGACTGGGTTTTACCGTGTTAGCCAGGATGGTCTCGATCTCCTGAACTCGTGATCCGCCCGCCTTGGCCTCCCAAATTGCTGGGATTACAAGCATGAGTCACTACGCCCAGCAACTGGTAATAATACTTTAAAATATACTCTTAACCACGTGAGATCAATATTCGGATCAGTTTTAGAATATAAATTTGAAGTTATTCTTGCACACACATACTGGGCAATTTGGAGATTCCTTCCAAACCCAAATAATAAAGTATATCTATAATAACCTAACTGAGAAGGAAATGGAAATATAACAGCTTTAACTTCTTTCTCAGCTCCTCTTTGATCCTGAGTTCAAAGGAATGACTGTTAAGTTCTCAGGTAAGAATGCATAAAAAAATCGATGATGACAAAAAAAACTCTAATAGGTTCTCAATTTTTTGAAATTAGAATTGGTCTTAAAAGCAAAGTAAACAAATGGTTTTCATTTGAAATATGTAAAAGTTCAAAGATATCAAGAGTTAGAAAGAATAATTTCACATTAAAGTGCCTGCTATGCATAAACAGATCACAATGAGCCATGAGATAAAATGGGCCTAATCTATAGGCTTCCCACGGACAGCCTTAAAGATTCTGAAGAGGTAACAGAAATCCAAGCTAATCAATGGAAGCCATGATGAAGCAACCTAGAAGATGGCGATAAACATTAAGCCTAAGGGTTTTATTTTTTCAAGCTGTGCAACTGTGTTTCCTATAACAAAAGGACTTATCAGCCTAATAATCTCTTCGAATCTTCAAAGTTTCAAGACGATCTGAAGACTGCTGGGGGAGGAGAGTATCGGGCAAGGATGGACTTGTCTGAGGATATGAGCGCAGTGGAAGGGACAAGAAAAACAAAACGGAGAATCTGTAGGCAGAGTGCGCCAGACATTGTGCAAGTCTACTTTTAGCATATAAAAAACAGATTTTACATTAAAAACACCAAAGTGAGGCAAGCCATTCAATTAATATTAAATCAAAAACAACATTTAAAAATACAATTTAAAAATTCCTATTTTCATGCCTACTTCTGATTACTGCAAAGCATCCGCTTCTGGCTTTGATACAAATATTCCTTAAGTAAGAAAGGTGATCACGATGTTTTGGTTCCAAAAAAGAAACGTGGCCCTTTGTGTTGAATTATTAGGAAGAAAATAAAATGTTTTGCAAAGGGGAAATATCTGAAATAACTCTATTTAAAAAACATGAGAAAAACCTGTCTATCCAGTATAATCCACATAAAGAAAAAGTAGCCAGAAAAAAAAATTGAGTAAAAAACCAAGGTGGCAAGTTATTAACTCAGGGAAATGGGATTATACATTTTTTTCTCCCCTAGAGATGGGGTCTTTGTCACCCAGGCTGGAGTACAGTGGAGCAAACAGAATCACAGCTCACTGTAGCCTAGAACTCATGGGCTCGAGCAATCCTCCCACCTCAGCCTCCCAAAGTACTGGGATTACAGGTGTGAGACACCGCACCCAGCCTTGTATTTTTATATATAATTTTACTTCCAGGTTTTTTATAGCAGGAGTAGGAGAGGAGTGAAAAACAGGCAATCACATTTAAATAAAAGATTAAAAACCTCTATGAGGCCAGGTGTGGTGGCTCACACCTGTAATCCAGCACCCAGCACTTTGGGAGGCCAAATCAGGATTACGTCAGCCCAGGAGTTCGAGACAGCCTGGGCAACACAGTGAGACCCTGTTTATATATAAAAACAAAAAAAAACACCCCTATGAAAAATTTCCAGGGGATTTATTTCCATAGAAAATTCAGATACCAAAGTGATGTACTGGACTACACATACCCAGAACAATAACCAAGAAATTGGCCACCTGTGTAAAAGTTAACTATGTAACCAACTTAAATGAGATACAATAGGATCTGGCACCTAAAAATGAAATGGTAACTATTTCACTTATTATTTTACCATCACTTAGAAAATCTTTTAATAAGGGATTTATCACTTACCATGCACCTCTAAATTGCACTGGTCCTGTTCAGCTCGGCCACAAACTATAAGATTATCACTGGGCTTAATCAAGAAATCTTCACGTTCATATTGTTCCTAAGTGAGAGGAAAAAAATGTCATTGACTAGAAGCAGAGAGCCAGTAAGGTTTTTTGAACACTTAAGAGCATAATTAGAAAAAAGATGTAAATACTTACTGTATCTTTCAGAGTAACGTAAGGATCTTGATCATTACTCCCGTAGACCGTAAGACCCAAGAGAGATTCACCAAGAGTCTCAGCATCTGTAAGAAAAATTGACAAACTACAATAATAAAATAGTCATCTTGACAAAAACATATTTCCTATGACATCCATTCTTGGACTTAGATGCAATCATCTATTTTATAACTAACTCTGGATCATCTAGAGTTGGGAAAGGAAACTACGTAAGCAGCAGCAGGAATTTAAAAGCCATTTTTGTATTTGACCTTTGGAATGGATTTCAGACAGTCTTGGAATTCACAATCTTCCAATGAAAGAACTGTATCAGGGAATTAGACCCTTTTAGAAAATATGAGAACTCTCTTGAGATTCTCTAGCTAGCTCCCTGCATTCATGATTGAAGGTGATACGGAGAGGCAGCCTTGAGGACCTGGAAATAAAATGACCCTGAAACACTGAAATCAACATAATAAATAAGGGTTGCCTGGTCAAATAAAATTGAGAAATGACAGGTTTCAAAAAATTAACCAGGTTGCTCTACTGCACGTGTTCTGATATGCTAATATGCCTTATTGGCATATGAAAAAAGAAATGCAGTATGCTTTTTCCACTGAACTTAAATTATTCTTTTATGGCACATCTACGATGGTAACAAAGGATAACTCAGGAAAAGGAAGATACACTGAATTGTTAGAGGAAGCCACTTTAAGGAGGCAGGACTGATAGGTCTTAAACATCTGATATGCAACAGAGAAAGCAATTTCTGCTACACGAGAAAGAGCTGATTCTGAATGCCATCTCTCCAGGCTGGGTTATTTGTTTCTCTGTATTTCTATGGCACTCTGTCCCTAACAAGGTTGGAGCCCATAACCCAGAGTCCAATAGAAAAAACTATCCTCTGCTGGACTGTATCTATAGAAAAGATGCAGTGAAAAGAATGAAGGCTTTAGAGCCCGAGAGTGGTCAAAACTCAGCACCGTCTTTCACCAGCTGTGTGCCGCTGGTAAATGGAGGTAATGATTCCTTTCTAAGTACTGCAGATAATGAAAAATGAAGTTAATAGTAATCCATAGGACAGATGGCCAAGCGAATGAGGAAAACGGAGGAATGAACATCTAGATGGAAAAATGGATAAATGACAATAAAAATCAATTCAGATGGAGTGAGGAAATCAGGGTTACTTCTTGTCTGAAAGAAAAGAGGTACACCAGCGATAATAAGATGGAAACCAGACGTACCAATTCTGGAAGAGAGTTCATCCACTAGGATGATGCTAAACTCCCAGCTACCTCTGCAATCCCTTTCTTCCATGTCCTCCTCCTCATTCCTAGTGCCCCAAGCCAGGCCCTCATTGCTTCTGGCCTAATTTATCTTAAGTTTCTGCTCCTCTAAGAGATTCACCCTATCTGCCAACCTGTTCTCCACTGTTGCCAGAGTTAACTTCCTAAAGTGTATGTTCCATTATTATGTGTTCCATGCTCAAAAACCTTTAATGATTTCCTCTCGCACAGAGAACACACAGATTGCTAAGCCTGGTATTCTAAGTTTACTGGGACCCAATTAAGTCTTTCTTCCAGACTTCCCAGCAACTGCCCATCCACCTTCTCTGTGCTTCACTCATGCAGATCAACTTGCCGAGCATTTCCCCTCCTTTGGGTCTTTTTCCAGGCTGTATCATCACATACATCAGGTCAAGCTCAATATTGCTCTGGCACTAAAGGCTTCCTATAGTTTGTCACATTCCACTGAATCTTCCTCTTACTTGGCTCAGTTCTGCCTCCACAATGTTATCTACTGTGCTCAAACATGCCCTGCCTGAGGCATCCAGGACAAGACAGCTAATTGACTTTGGTCAATCCCATCTCTACCCAGAGCCTACTTACTCATTTCTCATTGCCTGTCTGTTGTTTACTGATCTTCCTGTGCCCAACACAGACCATGTCTCATGTCCTATTCTTTCCACACTCCAACTACACTGCTCTTCCAGATACCCCACAGTGCTCACCATCAACCCGTACATGTCTGATTTTTTTTTAAATGTTGTATTATAGAAATTTTGAAAAATGAACACAAGTGGAGAGGGCATCACGAACCTTGAATTACCTTGCTTTAACAGTTAACACTATTTCCTCAATGTCATTTTCGACTCTCCCTCTCCCCATTGCTGGAGTTTTTCAGGCCGAGGCAGGCGGATCATGAGGTCAGGAGATTGAGACCATCCCGGCCAACATGGTGAAACCCTGTCTCTACTAAAAACACGAAAATTAGCTGGGCGTGGTGGCATGTGCCTGTAATCCCAGCATTCGGGAGGCTAAGGCAGGAAAATTGCTTGAATTAGGGAGTCAGAGGCTGCAGTGAGCCGAGATTGCACTACAGCACTCTAGCCTGGGCAACAGAGCAAGACTCCGTCTCACACACACAAAAAAAAGTATATTATTTTACTCAGCATTTCAACGATATTCTAACAGATACTGATATTTTTAAGTGCCTGATTATAACTTTTTTAAACTTTTTTATTATTTAGACATGGTGTCTGTCATCCAGGATGGAATACAGTGTGATCATAGTTCACTGCAGCCTTGAACTCCTGGGCTTGAGCGATCCTGCTGCCTCAGCCTCCCAAGTAGCTGGGATTAGACATGAGCCACCACGCTCAGCTCTGCTATGTCTTATGTAATATTTTAACCATCAATTTAACAGGTAGTTGTGATTTTACTTTGTTGCAGATAACATTTGTATTAAGAGTTAATTTTTGTTTCCGATCATCTACATTTTGATTTTATAACTTGGGAGTAGCTGATTCTAGCTGTCAGGAGTCCCTTCAGCTCCCAAATATGCAGACTAACTGGGATTTACAAGTTAAGTAAATAACTTACTTAACCTGCTCAGTGTGCCAAATGCCTATTTCTCAAACCCCAAGATTAGGAGTTAGTGCCACCTAGGGTAGCACATTCCAAAAGAAACAAAGCGAGCTTTGTCAGCTCCTTTTCCATTTATCGTTATACCTACTTTCCCCAGAAGAGCAATATAGGTAGTTGTCATCTCAGCTCACTTTATTCCCCACGAGGCTTTCTATACAAACTTCTACTTCTAATCTGTCTTCTGTTCTATTTCCTTTTTCTCTTCCCACCCATGATTTTTTCTTTTTGAGATGGAGTCCCACTGTGTCACCCAGGCTGGAGTGCAGTGGCACGATCTTGGCTCACTGCAACCTCCGCCTCCCAGGTTCAAGTGATTCTCCTGCCTCAGCCTCCTGAGTAGCTGGGATTACAGATGTGCGCCACCACGCCTGGCTAAGTTTTGTATTTTTAGTAGAGACAGGGTTTCGCCATGTTGGCCCGGCTGGTCTCGAACTCCTGACCTCAAGTGATCCACCTGCCTCGGCCTCCCAAAGTGCTGGGATTACAGGCGTGAGTCACGTGCACCTGGCCTCTTTTTCTAATTATCTCCAAGAACAGCATCTCAAAATGCAGGCAGTAGTCCCCCCTTATCCACGGGGGATACATTCCAAGACCCTCAGTGGTGGTCTAAAACCACAGATAGTACCAAACCTTATATACATTATGTTTTTCCTATATGTACCTAGGAATCAAATAATGATAATATACTGTAATAAAAGTTATGTGAAAGTCATCTCTCCCAAAGTACTGTACTTTACTCACTTATTTTCAGACTGCAGTTGACTGTGGCTAACTGAAACCGAAGAAAGCAAAACCGTGGATAAGGGGGGACTACTGTATTGTGAGAAGACTGACTGCAGTTGAGGAAAAGGTATATGGATATAAGTTCAAGCACACCATAGCATTATAACTGCATACAAAAACTCACAAGTGGGTTACAGATTATTAAACCTGATATATGCAATAAAATACACAGTACTTTTTTTTTTAGATCCTAGATTTGTATCTTAGTGGGTTAGAGTTTATCTTCTAAACTAGTTTAGGAATCATGCTGTCTGCCCAAGTCTTCAACCAGATTATCTTACTGATGTCAAGAACAATAAAATCTAAGAGTAAAGCTTTGGAACACCACAAACATGATCCAACATATTGAGCTTGTAATTACAAACCATCAGAAGTGGATAAACTAACCTGGGTCACCTTCCTCATCATATTTATCTAAGTCGTACTCAGCCAGCTCATCATCATCAAGCGTCCTGTCATCCTCTGGGTCACCATCCTCCAGGGGCTCTCTTGGGCGTGCCTGGGTGCGTGCACTCTGCATGCCATCTTCTGAAGGACTGCCTGTCTCCTCTTCATCACTGCCACCACCTTCTTCTCTATGAGCACAGAAAGAAAAAGAGAATCACCCAAATGCTACCTTCTAATAACAAGACCACATGGTCATCATCATTTAAGATATAGATTTCATCTGGTCCTAAACTTACTGCAATTTCTCCTTTGCCTCAGCAATGAGGCGTTTTACTTCTTCTTTACTCAGCTCTACCTGTAAGAGAGCAAAGATTTCATTACAATATGTGTAAGGAAATCATCAAATTATTTGAATTAAAAAGTAGTTTGCAAACAAATGTAAAATGTAACGCCAAGCAATGTCATCAAGATAAGAATCAAACATCAATCCAGACTCTATATTAAAAAATATAGATTTTATAGATTCTTACAAATAAGATCTCTCGCTACCTGAAACTTCAAAAATCATGCTCATTCTACTCCACCTCTTAGTCTTAAAACTCCAAAGACTGGTTTTGGTAAAGTGGCTGTGTGGTACTCGTCTGGTTTTCTTCCAACCATCTCTGACTCTGTCTAGGGCACCTCTCCCTCTCTTCCCTGTGGGCATTCCTTAACAAATCACCCTTACATGAGTCCTCTGTTCTTTTTTTTTTTTTTTTTTTTTTTTTTTTTTGAGACGGAGTCTCGCTCTGTTGCCCAGGCTGAAGAGCAATGGCGCCATCTCGGCTCACTGCAACCTCCACCTCCCGGGTTCAAGCGATTCTCCTGCCTTAGCCTCTTGAGCAGCTGGGATTACAGGCACGCGCCACCACGCCCAGCTAATTTTTGTATTTTGGTAGAGACTGGGTTTCACCATGTTGGCCGGGCTGGTCTGGAACTCCTGACCTCAAATGATCCACCTGCCTCGGGCTCCCAAAGTGCTGGGATTACAGGCGTGAGCCACCGTGCCCGGCCTTAATTTTAATTTTTAAGAGATGTGGCATGGTCACAGCTCCCTGCAGCTGTGAACTCCTGGGCTCATGCGATCCTCCCACCTCAGCTTCCTGAATGACTAGGATTACAGGCACGAGCCACCGCAACTGGCTTGTCCAATTTCTCTCATTTGGTCCAAGTTTTCCTTTCTAGGATTTCATAAATTCAATCTCTTTTTCCTATAAACTCTTCAAATAGTGGTTCCCAGACTTATCTGTACATCAGAATCACCTAGGGAATCTTAAATAATTTAGGCTACACTACAGGCTAATTACAACACAATACTTGGGAGTGGGACATAAACATCAGTATTTTTTGAACCTCCCCAAGTGTGAGATTTTCAATGTGTAGATTCATTTGGAAATCAGTCTTCAAGTATTTGAAAGGCTATATGTCTCTTTTTAATAACTGTTTCCTCCAACAATTTTTATATGAAATAATTTTCTGTCCCTATTCTATAAATGTAACACCGAGTGCCTACCATCAACCAAACCCTGGAGAAACAGTAAATAAAACAGTCTGTGCCCAGGTGGAATTTACAACTACTGGGACTACTCCAATCCGTCATTCCTGTTAACTCCATGTCCAAGCCAATCACATTCCTATCACCATCATCATTATCTTGGTCAAGTACATTCAAATCAACCCCTTTTACTGTTTGGTAGAACTTAACTCCCACTGACATACTATATGTGCACATGTCGACTCCATAAAGGCAGGGTCTTTTTCTATTTTTTTTTTTTTTTTTTTTTTTTTTTTTTTGAGACGGAGTCTCACTCTGTTGCCCGCCCAGGCTG
The DNA here is from genome assembly GCF_000001405.40 of Homo sapiens. NCBI lineage: Eukaryota > Metazoa > Chordata > Mammalia > Primates > Hominidae > Homo > Homo sapiens. Next base: position 107,686,934 of record NC_000012.12, on the reverse strand, counting down.
GAGTGCAGCTGTGCGATCTCGGCTCACTGCAAGCTCCGCCTCCCGGGTTCACGCCATTCTCCTGCCTCAGCCTCCCGAGTAGCTGGGACTACAGGCATCCACCACCACACCCGGCTAATTTTTTGTATTTTTAGTAGAGACGGGGTTTCACCGTGTTAGCCAGGATGCTCTCGATCTCCTGACCTCGTGATCCGCCCGCCTTGGCCTCCCAAAGTGCTGGGATTACAGGCGTGAGCCACCGCGCCCGGCGGGACTTTTTCTATTTTGTTCATGCCTATCCCAGGACCCTGAACAATGCCTGGCCTACAGAAAGCACTTAGTATCCAATGAGGAAATTACTTAAGTAATCGTCACCTCTGCTACAGTCTCAGTCTCCAACTCTTGTAGGTTTTTCATGTGTTAGACATTTACCTCTCATCCTCCCTGCTACCATCAACATCTCACTTGGATTACTGCAAGAAATTCCCTATTCATCTCCCAGCCTCACGACATCTTAGCCTCCACACCAGTTTTTCTACACCACATTCATCCTCACTCCTTCAGACACGGAGCACAAGAGTGGAAAGTGGAGTTTTCATGCTCTCTTCCCAGTTATGCTTGAAAATGCACTTGGGTGCTAGTGAAGCTAGTGGTGTTGTCAAAAAGCCTTTTGGGGTATTACCCACCAAAAACAGCAGCCCACCCCTTTCCGGCCCGCTAAGTCCATGTGCGTGCGAATTTGGGAGTGGGGTTGGGCTTGAGGGTGGGAACAGTGAGAAGGCGCGGCCCTTGACTCTCCAGGCTCAGGCGAACCAGACCTTCTGAACTGCAGCTCTAGTCGCGACAATCCGGGCAAAGCCGCCCTCACCCCAGCCAGTCGCACCAGCCAACGCCCCGAGTTCCGGGTCCACGTTCCCCCAGCTGGGCGGACCCCCAGTGCCGTAAAGACGCTGCTCCCCTTGTCTCCCAGCGACCAGGCCTCACCTTGTCTGGTGTCTCTTTGGCCACGCCGCAGCGGACCCAGGCCACGCACGTCACCTGGCGGCTGCGGTTCATGGTCCTCAAGTCAAGGGCGTGTCACGCTAGAAACCAGGCTGCATAGGGAGGGACCACGACCGCACTGCTGCCACACGCTCAGGGATCTGCACAGGGCCGCTGCCAGGGCAGAGCGCATGCGCAGGCTCCTGTTTGGGCAGCGTCGGCGCTCATTTCAGACGTCATTCTGAGGCGCCGAATGAGAAATAGGAGGGGACAAAATGGAAGCGGAAGCAGCCGGGCGAGGAATCCACGTGGGCTGGTCTGGGCTGTGTGAAGTATAGAGAAAAGGCTTTTCAGGACTGCATGTGACGATGCCTGCGGGCTTTGTAAAGGCCAAGAAAATATTTGGGACTGTAGGGGTCAGTCAGAAGCAAAGTTTCACCAATCTTTATTTTGCTTGCAGTTCCGTAGACTTCAAGCTGACAAATGGCAGAGGTTTGTGGTTTGCGTTTTTTAAAAAGCTTTCTCCAAAATGAATTTGTCGTTTCACGGAGATCCCACCATTACATCTCATTACATCCCTAAATGTTACTTTCTCACCTTAAAACATTTAGCACCAAAAAAAAAAGTGAGAAAAAAACATTTAGCACCAATTATATACTAACTATGCAGTAGTGATTTAGTCTTGGCAAACACAAAGGGCTTACTTATGTTGAAGGCGCTGTTTTGAGTGCCGTATCACGTGATTACTTACCCCTTTGTGGGAGGTCTTATTTCCGTTTTACACCTGGGAAAACAGCGATCCTTCCAAAGGTCACACTGCTAGTAAGCGGTGCAGCTGGGATATGAACCCGGGCAGTGTGACTCCCTTGTATCTATGTCATGCTTCTCAGCTAAGATCAGTCATCTGTTAGAACTCGTGAGTGGCTGGACGTTTGTAGAATGGAAAATCTCAAACTAGCATCCCAGAAAAATCTGGGTTTTGATCTCTTGGCTGTGTGGCCCTGTCCTGGTCATTTACCCTCAATGCATCTACCTCTGAGAGAGGCAAGCAAAAGAAACAGGAAGGTGGCTGCTATGGGGAAACAGTGGCAAGGATAAACTGGCAGTACACATGGTCTTTCCCAGTGGCATTGTCAAACGGGGGGTGTCCACCTGTGGGCTCTATTCGGGGACCTTTTTGCAACACATTTATCTTTCTATACAGTATTTTACTTGGTTCTCACAACACTTTGTTTTAAAGATGAAGCTAGAGTCCCCAGTAGTCAAATACTTTCCTACTCAGATCACACACAGAGGAGCTGATACAACTATGAGTTCTGTCACCAACTCTACTCAGCCTAATGCGCTTGGCAATCTCCCTGCCTGAGGAGAGATCCTCCCAGAAGTAAATTGCTCATTGTTTGTGTAGGCAGATTATTTGTCCATTAAGACTTCTCCCCCTGCTCTGTTTCTGTAAGATGATTCTTCTGTGGTTTCTTTGCTTTTAACCCATTTTAGAAAGACCATATGGCAGATAATATTTTTCAAGGATGGCTGCAACAATAGAGTCCTTCACACATGTTTGTCTGCAACGTGATCTTGATATTCCTCCATCAAAGCACCCCCCCCCGCCCCCACCAACTTGAATCTGGGTAGTTGTAGGTCTGCTTTGGCCAATAAAGTATGACAGAAATGATGTTTCCAAGGTTAAGTCATAAATAGGATGCAGGTTTTGCTTCCCCACCACCACACCCACTTCTCCACTTCCACACCCCCCACCCACTCCCCCACTGCCCACCAGTAGAACACTAATGTTTGGAGCCCTGAGCCACCATATAAAGTTTGGCTACTGTGGTAGTCTGTTCTCACACTGCTAATAAAGACATACCCAAGACATGATAATTTATAAAGAAAAAGAGGTTTAATGGACTCACAGTTTCAGTTGGCTGGGGAAGCCTCACAATCACTGCAGAAGGCAAAAGAGAAGAAAGGCATGTCTTACATGGCAGCAGGCAAGAAGAGAGCATGTGCAGGGGAACTCCCCTTTATAAAACTATCAGATCTCAGCTGGGTGCAGTGGCTCATGCCTGTAATCCCAGCACTTTGGGAGGCCGAGGCAGTTGGATTACAAGGTCAGGAGTTCTAGACAAGCCTGGCCAACGTAGTGAAACCCCGTCTCTACTAAAAATATAAAACTTAGCCGGGCATGGTGGTGCATACCTGTAGTCTCAGCTACTTGGGAGGCTGAGGCAGGAGAATCACCTGAACCCAGGAGGCGGAGGTTGCAGTAAGCCGAAATCGCACTGCTGCACTCCAGCCCGGGCAACAGATCAAGACTCTGTCTCAAAAAATAAAAATAAATAAAAATAAATTAATTAATTAATAAAACCATCAGATCTCATGAGACTTATTATCATGAGAAAAGCACAGGAAAACGCCGCCCGTATGATTCAATTACCTCTCACTGGGTCCCTCCTATAACACATGGGGATTATGACAATTCAAGGTGAGATTTGGGTAAGGACACAGATCCCAAACCATATCAGCTACCCTGAGTCCACTATGCTGTTAGGAAACCAAACCACATGGAGAGACCACATGTGGTACTCCAGTAGACAGTTGTAGTTTTTGAGTTAACCCAGACCTGTAAATGAAAGTGCCTTTAGGTGAATCCAGCTCCCAGACATTGATTCACTCCCAGCGTTTGAGCTTGCTCAGCTGAGACCCAGCCATCATGGAACAGAGACAAGACATCCCCACTGTGCCCTGCCCAAATTTCTGACCCCCAGAATTTGTGAGCTTAGTAAAAGATTGTTTCTAACCACTAACTTTAAAAGAAAAAATCCTTCCATAATTTTTATTATAGTAAAATATACATAACACAAAATTTGCCATTTTTAAAAAGAGACAGATTTAGGGTGGGCTCCGTGGCTCGGCCTAAATCCACTTTGCCCTCCTTTGAGAGGCCAGCACTTTGGGAGGCCAAGGCAGGAGGATCACTTGAGCCCAGGAGTTTGAGGCCGACCTGGAAAACAGCAAAATCTTGTCTCTACAAATAAAAAAATTAGCTGGGCATGGTGGTATGCACCTGTGGTCCCAGTGATGGCAGCAGCTGCTGCCATCATGCCAGCTACAGCAAGGAGGCACAGCTGGGGCTGCATGCTCCATGGAGCCAGTGGGAGCCCTGCCCCTTCTGAGTTGGGGCAGGAGCTCCCGGGGTACTGCTGCAGTCACCCAAACTGCAGCTGCAGACCCAGGCCTCCTGCTTTACAGAGCAGGCAGCAGCCACCCAAACTGCAGCTGTGGATCTGGGGCTCCCTGTGCTCTTGGTGGGAGTGGCGGGAGCAGGCAGGATCTGCCCTCCCAGGTGCAGCTGCAGCCGCCCGACCAGTGGCTGCAGACCTGGGCCTCCTGCTCCGCAGAGCAGGCAGGAGCTGGGGACAAGTGGGATCCCTGCCCCTCCCAAGTTGGCGGGGTGGGAACTCCCAGGGTGCAGCTGTGGCTGCCCTCTCAGGTGCAGGACTGGGCCATCTATATAGCCTGTGCCCTCAGGGGCCCGGGAAGGGCCCCCACAACTCTGTCACTCAGGGCTGTCTGCTTCTGCTGCCTGACTTCTCTCCTCTCTTGGAACCTGCTCAGATCTTGGAGCGGGCTTGGGGATGAGCGCCAGGGCCATGAATGGCATCAGGAGGCAAATAGATTCCTGGGCTGCGGTTCCCCAGTAAGGCCTGACCTTCAGACCAGGGAGGGCCTGAAAGCTGGGGGCCAGCTCCCAGTTCCGAGGTTGGGAGTAGGGACTCGTGGTACCTCTTCTGGGCTGCCAATGGCCACCCATGGACCAATCGGCATGTACTTCCTCCCCTCTGAGGTCCATAAAAGCCCGGTCTCAGCCAGAGCACGAGAGAGGATGGCCAGAGCAGGGCAGAGGACGCAGAGGATGTTGAGACTATGGGAGGATCAGCTGCAGAGAGCAGCTCTCCTCTGCTGATAGCTGGAGATGATACTACGACTTGCCAGCAGAGAGGAGCCACCCTCTCTAGGGCCTCCTGTCTGCTGACAGCTGAACACTCGATTGGCCGACCTACCTACAGAGAGGAGCTACCCACTGTGGGTCTTCTCTGAGCTGTTCTAACACTTAATAAAGTTTATCTTCAGCTTGTTCACCCTTCACTTGTCTGTGTTCCCCATTCGTCCTGGACTCAGGACAAGAACTCGGGCAAAGGTGCCACCTGCCACAGAGGTTTCTGGCCAGAAAATCGACACCTCAAAGATCCCATAACACCAGCTACTTGGGAGGCTGAGGTGGGAGGATTGTTTGAGACCAGGAGGTTGAGGCTGCAGTAAGCCATGATTGCATCACTGCACTCCAGCCTGGGTGACAGAGTGAGATCCTGTCTCAAAAAAGAAAAATAAAAAGTAAAAAAAAGAAAACCCTGAGTTGCAGGTTTGGTGCTCCCTTCTTGCAGAGTCCAATAACAAGAATGAGGTCTGGTATAAAAAAAGTAAACTTTGGCCGGGTGCAGTGGCTCACGCCTGTAATCCCAGCACTTTGGGAGGCCAAGGCCGGTGGATCACCTGAAGTCAGGAGTTTGAGAGCAGCCTGGTCAACACGGTGAAACCCTGTCTCTACTAAATACACAAAAACTAGCCAGGCGTGCTGGCACATGCCTGTAATCCCACCTACTTGGGAGGCTGAGGCAGGAGAATTGCTTGAACCTGGGAGGCGGAGGTTGCAGTGAGCCAAGATCGCACCATTGCTCTCCAGCCTGGGTGAAGAAGCAAGACTCTGTCTCAGAAAAAAAAGAAAAAAAAAAAGGACTTTTTATTCCAAAGCTAGCTAGCTTAAGGGAAGAAGTATAGGCTTCCTGCCTTAAGGTACCACTTCACTTCTGGGGCAGAAAGCTGGGGCTTTTAAAGGGGGATGTGGCATGAATGGCATGCATGGGAGGGGGCAGGCAAGTAGGGGCCAGGCAAGTAGGGGCCTATGTGACTTGCTTCAGTGCCTTAACTACCAGATGGTTGAGCTGGTGCTTCATGGGCAGAATTAAGTTGTAAAAATGGCGCTTGTCTCCAGATACTCTCCAGGTGAGAGAGTGTTTTGTAGGAGACACCCCATGGTTGTAAATTGACTGTTGTCTCTTGAGGCAGGCTCCTGGTGGGAGAAATTTCCACTCTGGAGCTTTTAAGCACATAGTTAGATAAGCTTGCCCTGTAGAGAGTATCTGGTGAAGGGAAGGTAAAACGTTATAATGGCATTTCTAAAGAGCTAAGTAGGAAGTGGGGAACAGGGGAAAAGGAGAAAAGAGAAAAGAATAATGAAATTTAAAAAATAACTCATTCTCTTAAAAAATGGGGGTGCCTGGTTACATTTCTGTCATCCAAGTTGGAGTGCAGTGGCATGATCATAACTCATTGCAGCCTCGAACTTAACCATTTTTAAGAGTATAGTTTAGTGGTAGTAAGTACTAAATTGCTGAGTTTTGAGGTCATCTTTTAATGCAGCAATAATAAAGCAGGTGAGAAATGTGCTGTATTTAGAATAGAGCGCATGAACTGATTTCTTAGCAGAGGCTGATGTATTAACCCCTGGCTAGGCTCACGTGGGCTCACCTTGTATACGGGAATGGGCTTAGGTTTGAGTATTTGACTCTAGGTCTTTTGCCCCCGTGGGTTGCCTTCTCATGAGCCAGCTTCTGCTCCATGATGGCCCAGTCCCTGTCAGGTTTGCTGTCACAACCAGCATGGTGCCTGGTGCAGGGTGGGCTCTTGATAAATCATAGTTGTTAAATGAGTGAATAAGTTAAATAACAGAAGGTAAGCTAGGACTCCAGTTATTTTGGGCTTGCTAAACTCAGCCTCTTTTACAGGACTTATTTCCGACATTCTGCCACTTCAGCCCAAGCTGTGAATTCCCTTTAAAAATGAAAATCCCATGGCAGCAGGTATGATTAATTCCTTATAATGAGAATTGAAAGAGATTGAGCTTAAGTAGCTCTGTTTCTAAGCCTGATTCTTAGGAACTGATGAACATATTTAAGTCAGAAAAGTCTCTTTGCCAGAGGCCAGAATAAATGTCGTTGGTGGCACGTTGGCTATTCTTAGTTAAGGGTCCCAGAGGATCGAATCCTGGGCCATGCCAGGCTCTTGTTATACCCTATAGCTCAGTGTCATCTGTACTGAGGCTCATAAACATTTTTTTCTAAATGGGCTTGAGTGCTGGGAAGGAAATGAAGCCTATGGTACCCTCCTCCCCCATTGCACGAGGCTCTGTTTCTTGCTCCTCCTCTAGCTGACCCTACAATATTAGCTGATAAGGAGTGGAAGGAATGATAGCTACCACTTACCAAGTGCTAGAGACTTATACCATGAATAGATTTGACAGTGACAAAATCAGGTGTACAAAAATGAAACTTGATTTTTCTAGAACTGAATTGGCATTTTCACAAGGACGAGAGCCGTGAGAGTCTTGTTACCACAGTATTGCCAACACCTGGCAGAGTGCCTGGCACAGCAAATGTCACTAAATATTCGTTGAATAAATGAATAATATTAGAGTTCTAAACTGAAGTTCAAATACATTAGGAAGGCTAGGCGTGGTGGCTCAAGCCTGTAATCCTGGCACTTTGGGAGGCCGAGGTGGGTAGATCACCTGAGGTCAAGAGTTTGAGACCAGGCTGGCCAGTGAAACCTTGTCTCTACTAAAAATACAAAAATTAACTGTGTGTGGTGGTATGCACTTGTAGTCCCAGCTACTTGGGAAGCTGAGGCAGGAGAATCACTTGAACCTGGAAGGCGGAGGTTGCAGTGAGCAGAGATCGATTGTGCCACTGCACTCCAGCCTGGGTGACAGAGCAAGACTCTGTCTCAAAAAAAAAAAAAAAAAAATCAGGAAACTTGCCCAGCGTCATAGAGTTAGCAATGGCAATATACTAACCCGACTCCTGAGATAGGATCCTGTCTGTCATGTGACACAAGTTTTCTGGTAGAGTTGTTCATCAATTCATTCATTCATTCGTTGGTCTGTCAGGACTCTATTGAATGCAATTGACAGCTAACCGACTCCATTTGCCTTGGGCAAGAAAGAGAATGTATATGCTTAGTAGCTCAAGAACCTACTGACATAAATAGCTTCAGACATAGCTGGATCTAGGGGCTGAAACCACTGTCATCAGGATTGGACCTCTCTTCTATATTTAGTTTCTGTCTTACAATCTGTTCACTTAACATTAAGCCATCAGGAGCTTCAGGCTTGATGCATCTTTACTACTTGCAACCTCGGCAGAAAAAGCACTTGCATTTCTCTCTACTTCTCTCTCATTTGCCTCTTCAGTTCTGGAATGATCACCAGTCACTGTGGTCAGGAGAAGGTGATGCTCTGCTCAGCAAAGCCTGAGCCTCATGCCCAGCCCTGGAGCCAGAGAGAGAATTAGCTGTACAGGGAACACAGAGTTGGCAGCAAGAATTCTCTGGAGGAAACTTGGGGTGCTGCTGTGAGGAGGCAAGAACTGTCACCCATGACATGCAACAATTGTTTTCTTTGCCATCTTTATGCAGGACAGTTTGGGAGACAGGGAGCTACAAAAATGAACATGACACAGCCCTTCCCTCTGAGGGCTCTGTATTCTAATATAGGATCAGAGGTTTATGGTCAAGGGAAAATTAAATAAGACATGCAAGCAAATGTGGTTGTGACAGCCTGATTGGTGACTGCTTCATCCTATTCACCGTCAAGTTGCTGGGTGACAGCTGAGGATTCTGACCATCTACCCTTTACCAGCAACTGCATTCCCTCAGTCCCCTCCTCCTTGATGCCACCACTATCACCACCTGTCAGAAAAACTCCTTTCCACAGACTTGGGTAGTTTTCTGCCCCCTCTAGCTTCTGTGTAACACCTCAGCGTTAAAGTGAAACTTCAACCCTATAAGCTTTCCAACTCAAGTTCTACCTTGGTTTTCTGCTCCAGTCTGTCTCCAGATGACCAGCTATGTGGTTCCAGGGTCACAATCCCAGAGGTGAGGCTATAGCAGTATGAATGAGGAGACAGGGAAGAGGGGTGACAGGGAGCCAGAAGATGCAGTCTTGCTGTGGGTGGTTGGTTAGGGAGGCACAGGGCGGTGGGTAGGGGCGTAGGATGATGAATGACATCATCTGACTTAGATTTCAGGTCATTCCAACTCCCGTGTGTGGAATGTGGGGGTGGGGATGGTGGGGTGGGCAGAGCGAATGTGGGGAGAACTATGAGGAGGTTATTGCAGTAATGAAGGGGCAGATGCCGGTGACTTGGACAAGAGTGTTGCCTGGCGGAATCAAGGGAAGTGGAGAAAGATGCCATCTCCTGATGGGAAGATCTGTCAAGAATTTGTGGCCACATTTAATCTACCACAGCTGAGGAGACTAACGAGAAGAAGGAGGTGACTGATCTAAGACCACACATCATCTAAGCGTCAAGATGGGGGACAGAGCCTGTGTTTTCCGTCTTCAGTCCTGTGTGGTTCCTTCCACACCCACGCCACCTCTTTTGGAAGGAAAGACAGAAATGCGTGCCCAGGGAAAAGTGAAAGGCTCCACCAAAGCCCTGGATATAATGAAATTAATCACATCCTTGCCATCGGAAACCCCACCTGATATGATGTGGCTGTGTCCCCACCCAAATCTCACCTTGAATTGTAGCTCCCATGATTCCCATGTGCTGTGGGAGGAACCTGGCGGGAGATAATTGAGATAATTGAATAATGGGGGTGGTTTCCCCCATACTGTTCTCATCATAGTGAATAAGTCTCATGAGATTTGATGATTTTATAAGGAGAAACCCCTTTCTCTTCATTCTCATTTTTGCTCTTGCCTGCTGCTCTGTTAGACGTGCCTTTCACCTTCCGCCGTGATTGTGAGGCCTCCCCAGCCACGTGGAACTGTGAGTCCACTAAACCTATTTTTCTTTATAAATTGCCCAGTCTCGGGTATGTCTTTATCAGCAGCATGATTCTGAGAGGACAGGGAAATGGACCAGACTGTTCATGAGAAGCAGAGGAAGGATGGGCTGGGCAAAGGTTTTGATCTCCCCATTTGTGATGCCAGAGGAGAAAGGAGGATCTGAGCATGGTTACTGCGCCCCTCGAGCCAGGCTTTGGCAGGCGTCAGTCACCATGTAGGGTCAGGCTGAGTGGACACCGGTCATATGTTTGTCTTCTCCACTAGATGGTCTTTTCCATCTTAGCATGCCCAGGGCCTGGGAGAGAGTACACGCCAAATAAATACTGGAAGAATAAATGGAAGATGACTTCTCAGACCTTGTTAAGGATGGGATGGTGTACTTGTTGCATGGCTGTGAGATTCATCACAGAAGCAAAGAATTTGTTGCCGGATGATAATTACAGCTCCTAAGTACTGCGTTTAGTGTTGAATTCCCATGCCTGGTATACAGAGTGGGTGCTGAGTAAATATTGAATGAATGAATGGTTGAGTGAAACTTCTCAATCCCTCACGTATGAGCCAGATTCATGCTCTTCAATAGAAAAAAAAATTAAATTCTTGGGAACCCAAGAATGCAGAAGTGTGGCTCCACCTAGTGGACACTCCAGGATTATGCCTGGAATTTTTTTTTTTTTTTTTTTTTTGAGAGTAGTTTAGCTCTTGTTGCCCAGGCTGGAGTGCAATGGCAGGATCTCAGCTCACTGCAACCTCTGCCTCCCGGGTTCAAGCGATTCTCCTGCCTCAGCCTCCCGAGTAGCTAGGATTACAGGCATGCGCCACCACACCCGGCTAATTTTGTATTTTTAGTAGAGACGGGGTTTCTCCATGTTGGTGAGGCTGGTCTTGAACTCCTGACTTCAGGTGATCTGCCTGCCTTGGCCTCCCAAAGTGCTGGGATGACAGGCTTGAGCCACCGCACCTGACCCTTTTTTTTTTTTTTTTTTTTTTTTTAAAACAGGGTCTGGCTCTGTCGTCCAGGCTGGAGTGCAGTCGTGTGATCCGCACTCACTGCAACCCTTTCCTCCTGGGCTCAAGAGCTCCTCCCACCTCAGCCTCCCGAGTAGCTGAGCCTACAGGTGCACACCAACATACCTGACTAATTTTTGTATATTTTGTAGAGACGGGTTTCCAACATGTTGCCCAGGCTAATCTTGAACTCCTGAGCTCAAGAATCTCCTGCCTCTGCCTTCCAAAGTGCTGGGATTACAGGCATGAGCCACCACACCTAGCCTATGCCTGGACCTTGAACATTTTTTTCCCACATGTTTTGTTCTGTGTCTTCTCCAGTTGTTCCTGCTTTACCCACTTTGCCACAGACCACCAAGTATGGCAGCGTGGCCCTGCAGGTGGGCAGAAGCCTATCTGGAGCCCTGAAATGGGCAAGAAGCTGTAGGGGGCAGAGTCGACTAGATGAGTTGGCTTAGAGCTGCCAATGCTATGCACAGGACATTGGACCAGGTGTGCTGAGGACTGTCAATAGTTTGCTGTGTGGCCCTGGGCAGCCCACTTTCTGTCTCTGAGCCTCACTTTTATTATCTAAGAAGGCGGAGGCTGAGATCAGACACAGCTGTGATGACTGAGCCCTTTCCTTGTGTCCTCAGGGCTAGTTCTCAGATTCCAACATAGCCTCGCTTGACTGGTGGGGACCATTAGGCTTTAGGTTAAAGTAGGGAGCCCAAGGCTTCACAGCTAATAAGGGTCAAAGCCTGGAATTGAACTTGGATCTGCTTGACTCCAATGCCTGAACCACTCTTTATAGACTTTCTGAAGCCTTTCTATGATTCTGCACATCTACTTGAGTCTGCCCCTCTCCTTATGAGAGGCTACATATGAAAATGGTAAGGGTGGTGGCCTCTGGAGCAGAACTTTCTCAGTTTGAATCCTTATTCTACTTACATACCTACTCCTGAGGTGTGTGACCTTGCGCAAGTCACTCAATCACTCTCCGTTTTGGTTTCCCCATCTGTAAAATAGGAAGATGACAACAAAATGTTGCTATAAAAGTTTACACATGGCACACACCTGTAATCCCAGCACTCTGGGAGGCCGAGGCAGGTGGATCGCCTGAGGTTGGGAGTATGAGACCAGCCTGGCCAACATGGTGAAACCCCGTCTCTACTAAAAATATAAAAATTAGCCGGGCGGGATGGCAGGCATCTGTAATTCCAGCTACTCAGGAGGCTGAAGCAGGAGAATCGCTTGAACCCAGGAGGCTGAGGTTGCAGTGAGCTGAGATTGCACCACTGCACTCCAGACTGGGTGACAGAGCGAGACTCCATCTCAAAATAATAATAATAATAATAATAAAAGTTTGAACACACGCACACATCACTTAGAATGCTACCCAACATATCCAGTTTTTATGTTTTAACTATACATAGTTATACGTATATGTATATAAACATGTAAGTACTTGTATGCTTTAACTATTATTTCCTGCCTCTGAACTTTTGTTGCTCCTTATGATATAGCCTCAAAAAGCTGTAAATTTTGATCTTTAATATTATTTCTAAGTAAGTATATTTATAGTTACAGAGACACACTGACAGGACCAAGGAAAAGAAAGCTTCCTTCAGGTTGTACCCTACTGTAAGGCAATCCTGTCTCTAGGGCACTGTGAATTAATACATAAATTGTATAAATATTGCAATTATATTGTGAATGGTACAAGTACATTGCATTCCATTGCTGGGGGGGGGGGTAAAAGGGATAATTTCTTATATGCAAATATTTATATATCTTATGTGCAAATATTTAAAATAAATAGAAATTTTTATAATCTTATTTTGGCCTCTTTTTGTACTTTTGTACTTTTTTTTTAGTAGATTCGGATTTCACCATGTTGGCCAGGCCGGTGTCAAGCTCCTGACCTCAAGTAATCCTCCTGCCTCGGCCTCCCAGAGTGCTGGGGTTACAGGTGTGAACCACCACACCCGACCTCTTTTTGCCCTTATAATTGGAGCCTCCAAAATGGATGTGACCTGGATTTCTCTTGACCTCCCAGAAGCCCTAATCTAGGCCAAAGTACCAGGATTGGAAGAAGCTAAAAACCCCAGAAATCCCTCTGAAGGGCCGAACTGTCAATACCTGAGCTCTGGTATCATAAGTTGCCCCGTGATGACACAGCCGAATGGGATTGGACTTGGCTCAATCTAGCTCATCCCAGAAGCTGTTCATGTTGCTTTTCCTGTGGTTGGAGAAACCATGGAGGAAGTGCTGGCCCCTATTCCTTCAATATTGCTGTGAATGTTCCTTTGCTTTGCAGTGAATGGAGGCTCAACCCCATCTCCCAGAACAGAGCTTCTTAACCTCAGCACTACTGACATTGGGACTGGAGAATTCTGGGTTGTAGAGACTGTCCCACACAGTGTAGGATGTCCAGCAGCATCCCTTGCCTCTGCCCAATAGTAGCAACCCATTGCCAGCTGTGACAACCAAACACGTCTCTAGACATTGCCAAATCTTCCCCAGTAGAGAACCACTGCCACAGAATAAATAGAAGGATTCATGAGGCAGGTAGTTTGCTAAACTTTGTCCAAGTAATGTGATTAGTCTCCCCTGGTCTGATACTTTAGCGAAGGCCGTGATGATGTTGTGTATAGTGGTAGTGGTGTTGGCGGGGAGAGGTTGGCCTTGTATTATCTGGATAATTGATCAGTCCTCCTTCATGCCATGTTGTAGACAGGACCACGGTCTCCTTTGGGTGAAAAGAAACACTTCTTTGTACTACTGAAAAAGTCATGTTTCATTAATATGATGACAGGGACATAACCTAAAGGCTGAAATCTTAGGAGTTTGGGGCATTCTGTAAAAATCGATTTCTTATTATTACTTTTATATTCTCAGAGGACATTTCTAAGGAAGACATTTCAAATTGTGACTTTTGCCCCCTAGATGTACCATTCAGAAGGCCCCCTTTAAGCTGTCTTAATGCATCTGGGCTGCTCTCACAAAAATGCCATAGACTGGGTGGCTTAAACAACAATTTATTTGTCATGGTTCTGGAGCTGGGAAGTCCAACATCAAGGCACCAGCAGATGAAGTATCTGGTGAGAGCCTGCTTCCTGGTTCATAGACTGCTGTCTTCTCACTGTGTCCTTACATGGCAGAAGGGGTGAGGGAGCTCTCTGGTGTCTCTTTTATAGGGGCACTAATCTCATTCATGTGGGCTACCCTGTCATGACTACGCATCTCCCAAACACCCTGTCTCTTAATACCATCACATTGATGATTATGAATTTTGGGGGAATACAGTCACTCAGTCTATAGCACAAGCCTTACAAAAACTTCCTTCTCTTGAATCCCTTTCTCTGCTCTTTCCCCTTAGTGGCCCATCTGTCCTACTTTGGGCACAAGCTGGTTTTGGCAAACCTCACACATGTGTATGTGCTTTTAGAAAAAGCCCTTAACCTTCTGTGTCATCATTCTCCAGAATGGAATGGTTTTTGTCTAATGATTGGTAAAGAAGCTATTCATAAAGTTGTCAGCAGAAACAGGTGGCTGGAAAGGATGATTGCTTGCACAGTGTTCTAAAGCTTTTTCACAGCGTTCCCCTGGTGAGAGACAGCAGGGTGAAAAAACATCTAATGGGTAAGGTAATTTAACAGAAATTCATAGCGGGTTTGAAAAACATCTCACACCTCTAGTGAGAGGAGAAATCATTGGCAATAGATGGGTGCACAAATGACTTTCAGAAAATGCCTCAGAGAACATGGAGTTCTTAAAATGACTTATTACAGATGAATACAAAGACATCTTAAGGATCTTACCTGAGTCCTGACCATATATATAGATGATCTTTTTTTTTTTTTTTTTTTTGAGAGTCTCGCTGTGTCATCCAGGCTGGAGTGCAGTGGTACGATCATGGCTCACTGCAGCCTCGACCTCTCAGGCTCAAGCAATCCTCCCCACTTCTCCCACTTCAGCTTCCCAAGTAGCTGGGACTACAGGTGTGCACCACCACACCCAGCTAATTTTTTATTCTTTTGTAGAGATGGGGTCTTACTATGTTATCCAGGCTTGTCCCAAACTCCTGGGTTGAAGTGATGCTCCCGCCTTGGCCTCCCAAAGGGCTAGGATTACAAGCATGAGGCACCATGCCTGGCCTAGATTGTCTTTTTTTTCAGGCATCATTTCAAGTATCCTCTGAGAGAGAGGAACAGAAGAACCTGATACCATTGCAGTGACCTGGGAGAACAGAGCAGTCCTTCTCAGACCTCAGTGTGCTCAGCACTGGGCCTCTGGTTAAAATGCAGATTCCATGTAGTAGGTCTGGAATCGAGGCTGACATTCTGCATTGCCAACAAACTCCCAATGATGCAGAAGCGACTGTCCGGCTCCACTTTGGAAAGCCAGGAAGTAGAGTACTTATTTGGGAAAAAGCTACAAATGCTCACACAGTTGGAGAAGCAGTGATCCAGCAGAGAAGTTACTTGACTTGCCCAAAGTTGCAAACAACAGTGAGAGTGAGTGAGATCTGTGGCTGGCGCTCCTGGTTCCTGAGCCCGTGTTCAAGTCTAGATTACGCTGTTTCCCTCATTCCAAGTACAAGGAGTAGCTGCTGCACTGTGACCTCCCCATTGGACAATGAAAGGATTTTACGCCCCACTTCAAGCTGCATCCTACCCAAATCTACCTAATGAGCCATTACCCTTCTTTAAAACAACTGTGTGACCAGACCACTTAGGAGTGTGGAGTGTGACCACTTAGGACTCCACACAATGAGCCAGAACCGTCCAACTCAAGGCTGGTGTTTCTGAAGGCTTGCACTGGGAGGAGCGCCCCCTGCCGCTCAGCCCTGAGTCCACAACCCCACCTGCACGTTGCTCAATGTCCTGACCTCCTGCTGTCTCAACATCAGAGCTATTTACCGATTTCCTCTCTTTGCTAAAACAACAACCACCACAACAACAAACTTCTCATGAACTGGGGTTTCTCAATCTGCCCTCGTACTTTTGCTCCCCAAGAATTCAGTGCTGTATGTACAGTGGGAAATGGAAACAATAGAACCATGTTTCAGCTGAAACTGGCACAGTTAAAAAAAAACACCAACCACGAAAAAACTAGAATGCCTACATAAGCTTGGGGATTTTTTCGTGCTTTATGCTTAAGACGCTTTTGAAAGGTTGCAGCTAAAAGTAAAATTTGTTTTGATAGCATTCTCAGCAACAGAAAGCAAATGAATCTCTTGTCCTCCCCATGGAAGTAAAAAGAAGGAGCCCAGTTGCTGCTCTGGAGAAAGTGGCCATGGAATTTACCTTCTCTGTCCTTAGAATGAAAGGCCTCAAAGCAGCCTTCGTTTGCAGGCTTTGCAGGACTTTGCTGATGTAAAAAGCCTTAGAAGCCGTTGAGTCTTTGAAGTCTTTCTTGGCTCTAACAGGAGGCTAAAAGCCAAGTCTCTCGAATTCGGCTTGTTCCCTGGGCCTGGAAAGAGACTGAAATCCATCTTGGTGGCCACCCAACCACACCTGCTCCACCACACCCTGCGATAACAGAGTGAGACCCGGAGGCCAGGAGATGCCTTTTGGGGGTGTGTCCTTGGTAAGTGAGGCGCATCACTGAGTGACTGTTTGGGGTGAAATCAGCCTTTAGGGAACATTTCTCAGATACTTTTCTTGCTTTACCAAACAAGGCTGAGCATCCAGGTTGGTGGGACCTCGGCCCAATAAAAGCCAAAAATCCGAGTTAGTGTATTAGTACAGAGAAAAACAAAGTGAGTATAAAGAAAAAAGTATTTAAAAAATCTGAGTTAGGAAAGGTGCAGGCTCAGATAAAAGACACAAAATGGGCCAGTCACATCTCCTTCTGGACCCAGTGCCCAGCTGAGCTTGACCATGACAATCAGTAACCGTGGACCTGCCTGCCAGAGGCGCCCGGCTGTCCTGGGGTGGTGGGTCCTCAGTGGCCGTCCGTCCCCACTCCTGCCACCTCATGTCACGCCAAGAGTTGGCTTGGCAGCAACTAAGTCCCCCAAGCTGTGTCTGTGTGTCAAGGAGCACCTTGAGGGACCCTGTCTCCCACATCTCTGTGTCCGCTCTGTGTCCTCTCTGTGTCCTCAGTCCCATTAAACATTGGTCCATCTACATTGAATCCTCACGCCACCCAATACTTCTTTCTCCCCCAAACAATACTCACCAAAAAAAAGACATCCAGAACAAGTAGACCTGTCATCACACCACATCACAGATACACATGACTAACATTTGTCTTAGCCCAGAAAGCTCTTTCTTCCTCCTTCTCTCTTTTTTTTTTTTTGTCTTAGAGACAGGGTCTCACTATGTTGCCCAGGCTGGCCTCGAACTCCTGGGCTGAAGTGAATCTCTTGCTTCAGCCTCCCAATATCTCAGACTACAGGCATATGCCCCCACACCCAGCTGATCATATTTATTATTATTATTATTTTTTGAGACAGGGTCTCATTCTGTCACTCACCCTGGCATGATCTTGGCTCACTGCAACCTCCACCTCCTGGGCTCAAGCCTCCTGAGTAGCTGGGTCTATAGGCACCCACGATGATGCCCGGCCAATTTTTTTTTTTTTTGGTAGAGACGGGGTGTCACTTTGTTGCCCAGGTTGGTCTCAAACTCCTGGGCTCAAGCAATCCGCCTGCCTCGGCTTCCCAAAGTGCTGAGATTACAGATATGAGCACTGTGCCTGGCTTGATCATATTTTTCAAAGCAGTGGAGAGGAGAGAAGCATCTTATTCTCTCCCCTCTCTCTTTAGAGGAGGCATTGTAACTGAAGAGGCACCACAAAGAGTTGGGCTTAGAGGTCAGGTCAGCCTAGGTCCACATTCCCTCTCTGCCACTTTTTAGCCTTGTTGCCTCCACCTCAGTTTCCCTATCTGTAAAAATGGGAATCAAAATTCTTACCATATAGGATTTATTATGAGAAGGAAGATAAAGGCATATAAAGATGAGCACAAAATATAAAGGAATGGAAAAGAACAGCCTCCCATGTACTGAAAATCGTCCATGATGTTTCAGTCACATAGAGGCATCTCCGATGCAGCACACAGAGGCATGGCATTCAGGCATCATTTCCACTGCCTCTGGGATGAAATGTGACAACTGGCTGACAGTCACATAGTCACATTCCCTCCCGAAGAGCTCAGAGCAGGAGATGAACAAAATGCTGGGGTCCTCGGGGACTCTGGGGAATGAGGCTGTCAAGAGAGTGCCGTGAATCAAACTGGAGCCTGGTGGATGAATCCTCATACTCCAGAGTAGACTAAGAGTGCAGCCAGTAGACTGCCTCAGGCTGATGGCTTACAGAGCCACTGCTGGCCTTTGGGGACCTGAGGCTGCTGGGGAGGTGAAATTAACCAACCCATGATAAAATCGGAGGTGGCCATGTCCAGGGCACAGAAAATCCCTCTCTTCCCTCTTGCTTCTCCCTGCATTTTGACAGAGCTGTCCCTTACCACCATTGCTGCAAGAGTGCCTCTCCATCACCTGTCATGTTAATGTAATGACATTCCCATTCTGCAGGAGGGAAGACTGAGGCGGACAGGAGACCTCACTCACCAGCCACTTATGCCAAACCAATGCATGACTCATGGTTTTTCTTTGTTGAGTCCAGTTTAAAAAATGCATATGAGATGTGGTGGACGTGTGCAAATTCACATACCTGGATTTCATCCCACTCTCAAAAATGGCCCTTCCCTAACTTGATCGTTTTGCTGAAATGCATTTTTTTCTTTATAAAAAGAAGTTCTATTTTTCAGTGACCGAATTGCTTCTAGCTACTTTTTCCCTTCCCAGCTGGTAAGGTTTTGTGGACAATTTTTCTTCCTTCTGTATTAGATAAGTAAGAATAATGAATTGATCCGCTGCCTCACAACCTGATGAAGATAAATAGGGTGGCGTGCTGAAATAAAATGCAGCAGTGGCCAAAAAATGAAGGCTGGGAGGTCATTACAAATTCTACGTAAGCTATATCAAGATTGATATTCATTTTCTGAGGCCAGATGATGTGTATCAGAAGGAGAGAACTAGTAACGACAACACCCCTGAGTTGTCAGGAACCTTTAAATTCTACACTCCCTTTATTGCTTGAATCTCTATCGAGGGGTTGGCTAGCATTTTCTGGAATGGCTCCTGTCATGGAGAACTCACTACTACCTCCTCATTCCATCTTTGAAAAGCTTTGCTCTGACTGTTAAGAGTTCTTATTTATACTTAGGTGAAATCTAAATCCTTGAAGGGTCTGTCGCTGGGACAGCTCTTATCCTTTTTATGATACTGAACAAGCTAGTTCCTTTCTTTTCTTTTCTTTCTTTTCGATGGGGGTCTTGCTCTATTGCCCAGGCTGGGGTGCAGTGGCATGATCGCTGCTGACTGCAGCCTCTACCTCCCAGGCTCAAGTGATCCTCCCACTTCAGCCTCCAGAGTAGCTGGGACTACAGGCATGAACCGCTGCACCTGGCTAATGTTTTTAAAATTTTCTGCAGAGATGGGGTCATACTGTGTTGTCCAGGCCAGTCTTGAACTCCTAGAAACAAGCAAACTTCCTGCCTCAGCCTCCCAAAATGTTGGTATTACAGGCAGGAGCCACCACACTCAGCCCGATTCCTCTTATCTATGAAGCCTGTTCTGCTATTTGAAGACAACTAAAATTAAGATGGTCACCTAAGTATTCTCTCCTACAGGCCAAACATCCCAGTTCCTTTGGCTGTTCTTTTTTTTTTTCTTTTTGAGTCTCGTTCTGTCACTCAGGCTGGAGTGCAGCGGCATGATCTCAGCTCACTGCAACCTCCGCCTCCTGGGTTCAAATGATTCTCATGCCTCAGCCTCCTGAGTAGCTGGGATTCCAGGTGCCCACCACCACACCTGGCTAGTTTTTGTATTAGTATTTTGTTTTTTTGTATTAGTAGAAATGGGGTTTCATCATGTTAGCCAAGCTGGTCTCAAACTCCTGACCTCAAGTGATCCACCCACCTCGGCCTCCCAAAGTGCTGGGATTACAGGCATGAGCCACCACGTCTGGCCCCTTTGGCTGTTCTTTCACCTTTGGTTACTCCCTTCTGATGAGGCTGCATTTTCTCTGTGACTTTCGTCAAGCACAGGGGCCATTTGTCATGTTCATGGCTACCCACCATCTTTCTATATTTGTAGAAATCACACAGTAGATTTCCTATCTCCCTAATGTAGTGGCAAGAACTGAAACTGCCAGCCTCCCTACAGCTAAGGTGCAGGCATGGGACCTAGGTTCTGCCTGTCAGATGTGGATGTACCCAGTGAAATTTTGATACTAAAGGGCCAACATGAGGAGATGGGAGCTTCCATTATGTAGTGCAAGTAGAGGCAGAAGCACTGAGCTTTTTCGGGTCGGCTGAGTTCCTGATGTAGGAATGACACTGGTGCTTGTGGAAAGAGCAGTCACTGAAGCCAAGTTTCTGGGAGCTACAGAAATGCCGTTAGTGATTTCTGCCTCCATATCATTTGGTGGAAGCAGTGGCAGCAATGAAGACAACTAAAATTAAGATGGTCACCCAAGTCTTCCCTCCTACAGGCCAAACATCCCAGTTCCTTTGGCTGTTCTTTTTTTTTCTTTTTGAGTCTCACTCTGTCACTCTGTCGTGGTTTGTAAGTTATTCCAAAAGGCTCTGCCTTTAATAGTTTCTCCAGCCTTCCCAACAACTGTGTAATCCTCTAATAGTTTCGAATAAACCCTCTTTCTTCTTAAATGAACCAGAGTTGCTTGCTGCTAGAAACCTTGACTCATACAGGACATGACCTGAGTGCATAATTCCAGCAGAGAGCCCTCCAGTGCACAGAGGAGCACCATCACCTCCATCATTCTAGCAATCATGCTTCTATTAATGTAGCCCACAGCTACATTATGGGCTTCTAAGCAGCCACATTATGCAGCTGACTTACATTAAACTCACTGGTCACCTGAAATCCTCACATTTTAGGGGCAAGGAATCATTCCTTGGCTCAAGGAATTTCTAGAAAAAACAGACTTCATTTACTTTCTCATTACTTATTCAACAGAAAACACTATCTGAGCTTTTCCCTTCCTCAAACAAAATATTTAATGTATGAAAGCAAGTCCTTTGAAGTGCCAAAAATGCAGTCGTTCCCTTCACAAGTAAACAAAATAATGAGTAATTATGGATTAAAATCCTACCACTTTTTCTTCTTCCCCACCCACTCATTCCCCATAGCATACAACTGAGAAGTATCAGGGTCACCCAGCAGCCATTTTGAACCAGATACTCCAGCGTCCCTCTCCATTATCAAAGTGTTGTGAAGTGAACAGGGAAGGGGCAGCAGCTTTGATTATTCCCTTGTTGATTCTCCTGGGTGTCCCTGCCACCCCAGGGGGCTCTGTGAGTGCAGAGAGAAGCCTCGAAGCATAGTCTGAAAATAAACAGGAATCTTTTCTTTTCCTTCTGCCGCCAACCCTGAAGGAAACAGGACAAAGAAAAGGGATGAGGTCACCTTTGGTTACCTTTGGTTAATGCCATTGCACAGGAGTGGGTCTCTCATTTATATTAGGGCATCAGTAAATACCCGTGAAATAAATAAACTTGATTTAGATAAACAACAGACCAGGGAAAAGTAAGGTAGAGTGAGGTTATGTGTGAGTAATTCCTTAGCTTAATTCAGACTGTTAGAGCCCTCCACCTAGGAAGACAGGATTACATTTATTTATTTTTAAAATTATACTTTAAGTTCTAGGGTACACGTGCAGAACATGCAGGTTCGTTACATAGGTACACATGTGCCATGTTGGTGTGCTGCACCCATTAACTTGTCATTTACATTAGGTATATCTCCTAATGCTATCCCTCCCCCCTCCCCCCACCCCACGACAGGCCCCAGTGTCTGATGTTCTCCTTCCTGTGATTTGCTGCACCCATCAACCTGTCATCTAGGTTTTAAGCCCCGAATGCATTAGATATTTGTCCTAATGCTTTCCCTCCCCTTGCTCCCACCCCCCGACAGGCCCTGGTGTGTGATGTTCCCTTTGCTGTGTCCATGTGTTCTCATTGTTCATCTCTCACTTATGAGTGAGAACATGCGGTGTTTGGTTTTGGAAGATAGAATTTCAAATGATTTTTTTTCAGATGCATTGTGAAAACGTCTCCCCTGGGTCAGAAAGAAAGGCTCGTAATAACCCTCAAGGTTGAGACTCCAGAAAGGCCAGGTGACAGAACAAGTGTCACAGGTTGGCCTGGCAGCAGAAAGGGTTTGAGATGAATCTCTGACTTCCAGACTGCACACCTTTGCTACTCAAAGTGAGGTCCCTGGACCAGCAGCAGCAGCAGCAGCGCTGGGATGCTTGTTAGAAACAATGAATTTCAAGCCCCACCCCAGCCCCATGGAGTCATTTTAACAAATTCGAGAAGCACTGCCCTACACCATCAGTGAGATGTCTAGAAGTCATCAATTACAGAAAGACCTAGTTTGGGAGCAGCCTGGACAACATAGTATGACCTAATCTCTACAAAAAATAAAAAAATTAGCCAGGCGTGGAGGCTTCCACCTGTGGCTACTCTGGAGGCTGAGGTTGGAGGATAGCTTGAGCCTGGGGAGGTTGAGGCTGCAGTGAGCCGTGACCACGCCACTGTAATCCAGCCTGGGTGACAGAGAAAGCCCCTGTCTCTCTCTGGTTAAAAGGTGACAGGATACCGGGGAATGCTACTCATCAATGAAAAGGAACAAGCATTCCATACGTGCAGGCTCCTTGGATGGGTCTCTGAGGCATTCTGCTGGGTGCAAAAAGCCAGTCTCGCCGTTTGAGGTGCTAACACCCGTAATCCCAGCATTTTGGGAGGCTGAGGCAGACAGATTGCTTGAGCTCGGGAGTTTGAGACCAGTCCTGGCAACATAGCGAGACCCTGTCTCTACAGAAAATTTTTTTAAAAAGTGATCTGGTAGTGGTGGTGCATGCCTGTTGTCCCGCTACTCAGGATACTGAGGTGGGAGGATTGCTTGAGCCCAGGAGTTTGACACCAGCCTGGGCAACATGGTAAAATCCCTATCTCTACAAAAATAAATAAATAAATAAATAAAAATTAGCTGGGCATGGTGGCTCATGTCTGTGGTTCCAGCTACTTGGGAGACTGAGTCGGGAGGATTCTTGAGCCTGGGAGGCGGAGGTTGCAGTGAGTTGAAATCACACCACTGCACTCCAGCCTGCGCGACAGAATGAAACCGTGTGTCAATAATAATAATAATAATAAAAACACCAATCTCCAAAGGCTGCTTACTATATGGTCTCATTTACATAACATTCTTGAAATAACAAAACTATAGAGATGGAAAACAGATTAATGGTTGCCAGGGGTTTGGGATGAAGTTGGTGGAGGAAGGGCCAGAGTGATTCCAAAGGGGTAGCATGAGGGAGATCTTTGCGGTGAGGGAAGAGTGACAGTGGTGGTGGTTACACGAATCCACACGTGGCAAGATGTCACAGAACCATACACACACATTGTAGCGATGTCAACTTCCTGGTTTGGATATTGTACTAAATTTATCTAAGATGTTACCATTGGGTTACTCTGTACTATCTTTGCAACTTCCTGCGAATCTGTAATTGTTTCAAAATAAAAAGTGAAAAAAAAAAACCCCAAACCAAAAAGGAGATGGTAGTCATGTAGCAATGATCTAGAGAGATGCCATCTTCATGGTGAGATAGGTGAAGCCTCATTCTAACGCTTTTATCTGGTTTCCTGCTGGGAGCCTGTTTTGCTGAAGGCATCATTGTGAAATGATGAAAAAGGTCCCTTTTGCTAAATCCTCCTGGATGCAATCTGGAATGTTCTATTACACAAAATGATGTTCTCACAAGGTTCTAATATAGGAGTGTGGTAAGGAGAGTGTGACAGGTTCCAGTCTAGGCCCACAGGACATCAAGTCAGAAGGAGTTGAGGAAACAGGTCCAGATGGAGAAGAGGCCTGGCCAAGGTCACCCAGGTAGCAGATGACAGATTCAGGGTCAGGGGTGAGATGTGGTGCCCAGCACAGAGCCCCTCCATTGTACCAATCAGCCTCTTCCCTTTGTAGCTCTTCATCCCAGAGGTTTTCCGTAGCATTAAAATTCAGAACTCATCTGAAGGTTAGCTCTGAAAAGCAACATCCAAAGAACGCACCAATGACATCAGGGCATGTCTTCTAATTGCCTATTCACGCAGACAGATTGTCTTTTCAGATTCAGGGCTAAACTTGGAGATGTGTCCTTTCACAGGGCACTCGTTATCTGCCTGCCTCATCAGTGATGGGAACTAAAGCGCAATGTGATTGCTGAGTATGAGTTCTATTTTTTTCTGCCAAGCAGGAAGTTCAAAATCTGTTGGGTTATTTTTAAAGAGGGTGGAAAAAATAGGCATCATAGCAGCTTCTGCAATGGCCCCGGCCAAAGGCACGTGCTGCTTTATTCAAGGCATTGGCTAGGCTGGGAGGAACAGAGGTGACGTGAAGTTCCACCAGGGAGGTTTCTTGGTGGAGGGGTGGGGGATGAGTGTCCACACACTCAAGTGGCAGCACAGGGCATATGGGTTTGCCTACTAACTTGATGAGGACAGCAGTCCCAGATTTTTCTGGAGGGATATCTAGCAGTTTGTTTCATTTGGGGGTTTGTGGCTACCCTCTCCCTCTCCACAGAGCTGTGGTCCTCAAGCCCTGGACTGAGAGTTGGCTCTGGCGGGCGTGGGCCCTGCTCAGCCATTTGTGGGGTCTTGGACCTTAGACACACACCATGGGAGTCTCGTGTCATCCAAGTCACACATGTGAATCTCACATTCCTGTGTAGACAAGAAATTTGGAAGAGTGAATCCCTGCAACTCTAATCTTTTGAAAATATGATGTTTATAAGAAAGGAAATCCAGGTGTACTTGGCTTCCATTTGCAAACATTTCTTGATTACTTTGTGTGAAGCACTGTGCTAGGAACTAGAATCACAAAAGAGCTCAGTTTGGGGGGAATTTCCCTATACTCCTCGGAATAAGTAGCAAAACCCTAGAGAATCACAAATCACCATGGGAACCGCTGCTGTAGAAAGTTCTAGAAATGAAGGCAAAGTCATTAGCCTTCCTTTCCTTGTATGAATCATCAATTTCCCCTTCCTTCTGCTCAGTCTTAGAAGTTTAGAAAAGCCTTTTCCCTGCTACTAACAGTGTGGGACTCGTACAAAATATCTCCTTTAATCCTCCCAACACCACTATTCACTAGTTATAGGTTTTTGTTTTTTGTTTTTTTTCCTTTTTGAGACGGAGTCTTGCTCTGTTGCCCAGGCTGGAGTGCAGTGGCACAATCTTGGTTCACTGCAACCTCTGCCTCCCAGGTTCAACCGATTCTCCTGCCTCAGCCTCCTGAGTAGCTGGGATTGCAGGTGCCTGCCACCACGCCCCGTTAATTTTTGTATTTTTTAGTAGAGATGGGGTTTTGCCATGTTGGCCAGGCTGGTCTTGAACTGCTGATCTCAAGTGATCTGCCCACCTTGGCCTCCCAAAGTGTTGAGATTACAGGCGTGAGCCACAGCGGCCGGCCACTAGTTATAGTTAAACCCATTTTTTTTTTTTTGAAAGAGGAAGGTGAATACTAGATAGAGTAAGTAACTTGTCCAAAGTCTCAAAGCTAGTCAGGGGTTGGATCCAGTTGGAACAGGGTTTTCACGTCTGTGCTGGAGTCCAGGGCTCAGCAATCAGTGCTGCCAACAGAAGGTGCGCAATAGATGTCTCCCTGAGTGGAGAAACCCAGGAAACTGCTGGCCTTGGAGACTGTGTAGGGGCTAGGCAGAAAGAACTAGAAGCGGGAGGATGTGAGCACTTCTGCGACTATTCATTCGTCTGTGACTGAAGGTGGGGGTGGAGGGAGGTGGGTGCTGAATTCTGAAGGCAGAGGACCCAAGACTCGTGAAATAGATTTTCTCAAAGAACCCTTTATCCGCACAGTCTGATGTTGGCAAAACACTGTGTGATGAAAGTCTTGGTATGACAACATACAGTCGGATAGCACTTTTTGCCAAGGGCTTTACAGGAAGAAACAATGTGAGATCCAAAAGCAGAATCGCAGAACGGGGAACACAGAACAAAAGCAGAATCACAGAATCTCAGTGCAGAGGAGGTCCCAGAGCTCCTCCTCCAACCCCGCCCCCATGCCTGACTGCATCGTCTTCTGGTTTCTGCCTGGGCATCTCCATGATGGGAGCTCACATCCTGATGTTCATTTTGAGTGGATTCTCCTTCTTTTGAGGAGAATGAATGATATCCAGGTATGGTATATGTAAGACCAATGGCCATGGGGGTGGGCACAGAAGCTAAGTCATGTCCTTGTGTTTCTTGGGGGCGGCTGCACGTACACAATCCTTCCGGTGTCCCATGGCAAATAGAAGGGGTGGAGAGAACTTGTGGCAGGCAGCCCCCCACCGCCCCCCGCGCTTTCCTCTACACCCTAAGATGCTAATGGGCCCTTGTACGGACTTTGCTGAGGCGTGAATGTCAAAGCCACCTGTCAGACAAGTAAAAGGCAAATGGGGTAGCATGCACTTTATCATTCTAAAAGCAATACATCAAAAATGCCTACTCACCGTGAGGCTACACCGAGGGTGACACACAGTCAAAAGTAAAACGACCTTCTGCTTTCCTGGCCTGACTCACAGTTCTGGCCCCTGGCACTTGGTTGCTTCCTAAAGAAGGAACAGACCTGGATTGCTAAGCGGGCTTGAGCAGTCATTTCCGGGAGGTGGGGCAATGTGAGCTCTCTACCGGGCCTCAATGGCCCAGGTCTCCCAGGGCTGGCTGGGCCTCTCCCCTGACCTGCTTGTAGGTTTTTGTGGATTGGCCAGGGGGATTTATCTGCACACATGCCTGGGTTGGGCCCAGGCTGGGTCAGGAGCCACAGCACAGCTGCTGGGGACTTGGTTTGACCTCAGCAATGATGACACCCAAGAAGAGAGCTGCCTGCCCCTCCATGACCCCCACCCCCATCCCATAATGCTGCCACCATCCTCTAGCACCAGCTCATGCTGGCCCTTGGTGGGGACACACCATGTGGAGATAACTTGTCCTTCTCATTCCCCCATCCTCAAAAAGTGTCATCAAGGCACATGAGTAACAGCCAGAACTCCACCCTCTGCAGGCGAGTTCTCTGCCTTAGGCAGTGCTACCTTGGTGGCCAGATGGCGGCACCTGTAGCTTCTCTGCCTGATGAGAAAAAGATCCAAGGGTGTCACTCAGAAGTGTATGCACCATGGGGACTAGGGCTTGGCTGCCACATCGCCAGCAACAGGAACATTTGTCTTTTATCTAGCATCTTCATTTCCCTTGGCTTTTTCTGCAGGGCCACATTGTCCAATCTCTTCACTGAGTGAAGTTCTGAGGCTTGAACTATTGGGATAAAGAGCCCACTCAAACCACACACACGATGCACGGCCTGGGAAAATCATTTCTTTTAATGACAGAGAAAGCACACCAAATGATAACAGAAGCCTCATTGGGAGTTACCACTGTACAAATCAATGCCTGGAGGCCCTGAACTAGCATTAGACATTCACAGGGAAGTCAGCTGAGGTTAAGGAAACATCCACGCAGCATCTCTGAGGATACAGAAGTGGGAGGAGGAAGGTGACAGCCGCAATGCACACGCTGTGTATCTGTAGCTTGGACTCTTCTTCAGGCAGTTCTTGTTTTCCTTCCACATTGGATGGTAGGGGCTGGGGGAGGTTTGCAAATGATCATGTGGAAGAGAGGCCTTGTGTATCAGCCTCGCAGAAGAGCCAATACTGTAGACAGATATCACCCAGATGCTCCATGGGCCATGCCCATGAAGCGATGTGACATTGGTCCTCTGAACAATGGTTCAGGGAGCTCGTACAACAGAAGAACAGTGGGTCCTTCACAATCTAGGGTCTGGCACAACTTCCTGAAGGCATGCTAGGAAATAGGTTTATCAACAAAACTTGGCTGTCCCCAAGGGTAAAAGTCATTCTCCTAGTTTTTACTGCATGTATCTAGGTTTCAAATTAAAGAAC
This sequence comes from Homo sapiens, assembly GCF_000001405.40. NCBI lineage: Eukaryota > Metazoa > Chordata > Mammalia > Primates > Hominidae > Homo > Homo sapiens. The sequence goes on along the minus strand of NC_000012.12, from coordinate 107,659,042 downwards.
GAGAAGAAAGGCCGCAACTGAAAAGTTATCTGGAATACTGTGGCACTTTACCAATCTCTTTTGCTTATAATATATGGCAGAGCCAACGAAACCCTGTTGATATAAACTTTCATTATAATAATCCTGTACTGTACACTCTCAGAATACAGAAAGAATCCATCCTATCATACATGTTTCATCTTTAAAAATAATCTAACATAGTCATACTCTCTGGCTAGTAACAAACTATTAACATCTTCTGAGAATACAGAGAAAACTCTGGGATTAATAGTAAATTCTCTGACGTGCTGCCCCCCTCCCCCATTCAGCATCATCTATGAACACATTTCTGCAAAAGCATCCCCAAATCATCCGTAACTAGGAAAAGAAATGGATATGTTGGTTTCACCAAATGGAGTTTTAGCTAGAAATGATGGAACATTTTTACCTTGGCAAAAATGAAGCACAAACGTAACATTTCACAGGTTCGGGCCCATGCAAATGCATGTTATGTGGGGGTGTTTTATTCTCACCCCGAAACCACGATTAGCATGCAGGTTGCTTTCAACTATTGAATTAGAGATACTTATTGGCAGTGCACCTCTTTTGTGTAATCATGATCACTAAGGCAAGATTATTTCAACTTGTTTAGAATATCAGCAGTATCTTATCAGATGCATGTTTACACAGTGTGGACCTGTGACTTACTATTTAAAAAAAAAAAAGAAATAAAGAAAAATCTCAAACACAGATCCCTAAACACAATTTAGTTGAAAACGAACTGTTAAGCTTTTAGAAATATATTTTAAACTACAAGACTGCCCTGTTTTTGTTTTTTTTTAAATGAACATTTAAAAAAGTTCCCACCCCTAAAAATTTGCCAGATTATTTCCTCATTATTGGTCACAGCCTCACCAATTTGCTACCATGGTTGACGTTTGCTGAAGCACAGCTACCAAGGTCCTTAATGTGTAATACAATCTCTTCAGGGTTGGTACGGTGAAGTCCTCCAACTGTCAACCTGGAACCTGAGTGACCTTTAAAAGGCCTCAATCCATTCACTGGACAGTGGTCCCCGGCAGTGGGTGTTCAATGGTCCTAGGGGTGCTTTCAATTGGGGTTAACTTGGTTGTCCAGTTGCCCATTAAACTCTGGACCCAGCTGATCTGATCTGCAGACCAGTGGAAAGTCCTTTGTTTTTCAACAGGAACACGTGGGAGCAGTAGAGGCAGCTCCTTGGCCCAGCCAAAAACAGGTGCCAGGTGGAATTTGTCTGTGTTTGTGTAAAGCCAATGCGGCAGGAGAACTGGAAAGTTCCCGGGAAGCATTCCCTGCACTAGGCGTTTCATACCACGGAACCTTTGGAAGACGACAAGTGGATGGACTGAATTCTGATGGCCAACGTCCTCTGTAAGTCCTGGAGCACATCCTGGCCGGTCCCTTCACCATTTTTGTCATACAGGAGCTGCTTGAATGCTTCGTTTTCAATGAGGACCATCATGTTTTTGAGAAAGTAGCCTTCGCAATATGCTGAGAGCTCTGTGACTCCAAGAAACTGTGGAGAGTGGAGAGGAAATGGGAGATGGTTACGCTTCCGAAAAGCACCTTTCAGATTATGCCTTCAGAGCTAATGATGGCACACACCTGCTAAGGAAGACTGGCTGCAGAATGTCTCTGATTCCCCAGCACACACCCATGGGGTATGACTTTGCGGCTCATGCTATCAAAGGGTTAGAGTCCATTCCTCCACTCCTTGGCCTTGTGCCAATCAAATCACTTCTCTGGGCCTCAGTTTTCCAAGTTACAAAAGCAAGGGGGTGGACTACAGGGGTATCGTGCTCTGCTGTGCCATTTAGGACAGGGATGCATGTGGTAATTCTGTGGCCTCCAAGAGGCTTATAAAGCTTGATGAAGTTTATCAGTGAGTGGGCTAGTTATCCCACAAATGTCCATATAGATGCACAAATCCTGGAGCTGGAAGAGATCTTAGCAATCCTTTCATTCTTTTTTTTGTTTTTTTTGAGACAGGGTTTCGCTCTGTTGCCCAGGCTGGAGCGCAGCGGCATGATCTCGGCTCACTGCAACCTCCACCTCCCGGGTTCAAGTGATTCTTCTGCCTCAGCCACCAAGGCGGGCGTCCCAAAGTGCTGGGATTACAGGTGTGAGCCACTGCACCTGGCTTAGAAATCTTTTCATTCTTTCAACATGAATCCTGCTCTTAGAATCACAGAGTACAAAGCTTCCTGGTACAGGTGGGGAAACTGAGGCTCCGAGTTGCCTATCTGATTCTGAGGACACAGCACCCCCCACCAGCACACCTGGCACTTGCTTTGTATATTAGTGTCATTCGGCACAAGTTAGTGGAAAATAAAAGCATAATATATAGCTACATTGATAATATTTGATAGTATTTATTGAATGGTGACTGTATATTAGCCTCTGGCCTATCTCCACACAACTAATTACTAACAGAACTGGGATTGGAGCTCTCATTCCCTAGACTAGTGGTTGGCAAACTATAGGCCTGAAGGCCAAATGTGGGCCACCACCTGTTTTTATAAATAAAGTTTTATTGGAACACAGCCATACCATTCATTTACATATTCTCTGGCTCCTTTTGCAAAATTAAGTAGGTACAAAGCCAACTGTGTGGTCTGGAAAGTTGAAAATATTTAGCTGGCCCTTTACAGAACATGTCTGCTGAACCTTGTCCTAGATTATAATTTTTTCAAGGCCAGAGACCATGTCTAATTTTTTTTTTTTTTGACAGAGCCTCACTCTGTGGCTCAGGCTGGAGTACGGTGGCATGATCTCTGCTTACTGCAGCCTTGACCTCCTGGGCTCAGGTGATTCTCCTGCCTCGGCCTTCTGAGTAGCTGGGACTAGAGGTGTGCGCCACCATGTCCGGCTATTTTTTTTTTTTTTTTGTATTTTTTTTAATAGAGATGGGGTTTCACTATGTTGCTCAGGCTGGTCTCAAACCCCTGGCTTCAAGTGATCCTCCCACCTCAGCCTCCCAAAATGCTGGGATTACAGGCATGAGCCACTGTGCCCAGCTCCTCTAATTTCTTATTATATTCTGATGAATACAGCTCCTAGGAAATGCTGGCTACTCAATAACACTAGCGAATAAATCCTTTGGTTTCCAAACCTGTGTTCTTTCCATCATGATGCACTGTTGAACTTAACCACAACAGCTGAGATTCAATCTGATGAACCAGCTTGTTCTTTTTCTCAAGAGACACCCTGAAAGGGCCACAGGAAGCTCCAGGGCCTCTTTTCATGACTGAATAGTTTGGGACAGGTTTACTAGGAAAAAAGAGCTGGCTAAGCCATGCATTTGTGGAATGGGTTTCTCCTCTGTATAAAATCCCACAGCTGTCTCAAACGGTTAGATGTAATACAGAGGTAACGTTGCGGAGGTCCTGGTTGACATTTGGAACGTGGCTCTTAGCATCTAAACGCCTGTATTTCCTGGAGTTACAAACGCAAGTGTTGTTTTCTTTCTTTACCACTCTTTTTACTAAATTAGCCTCTATTTGCAGCACAATCTGCCAGTAATCAAATCCACATGGTGTGTGACCATTAGCGGGCTGCAGCATCCACAGCACAGGGGAAGCAGTGCACAGAAAGGACAGGGGCAGCTGGCTTTGCCCTGCCCTCCAAGTGACTATCATAAAGGGCAGATATTTCTCTTGGAAACACTCCAGGTAGTGGCTGGGAAGGCGGAGGCAGAGCTGTTGTCTGTAAAAGCCAAAGCCCTGTCTGCAAAGGGGTGTTTGTAGGTGTATATATATATATATATATTTGAAAGAGGCAGTTTCTCTGCCATAGGTGTTCTAAGCCTGTATTCCCAGCCGGGGCTCACATCCCATCAGGCGACATTAGTAAATCACGAGATATGCTACAGAAGCTGCCTGACAACGAACTTGAAGAGATTAAAATGGGATTGTGAAACACAGGCCTCACTGCCAAGGTGGTAGGCCACAGAAAAGCCACTGTGGATGTCAAGTTCATGGGGCAATTTGAGTGACCATGGTCAAGGAGGAGGGCAGAAGAGCACAAGGCTAATCAGGCTCTCTGCCTTGGTACAGAGAGAGAGAGAGCCCTCTCTTCTGCAAAGTAATCAGTTTAAGATTAAAAAAAAAATGCTTGTGTCCTGAGAAACCAGATTTTGGTATAATCCTCATTTAACTAGAACACTGTGTGTGTGTGTGTGTGTGTGTGTGTGTGTGTGTGTGTGTGTGTATACAATGTAGACTGACTGTACTTTTTGATTTACTGATAGCCAAGCAGAAAATCTTGAGTATCAAGGATTATTGAAAATATTTCCAACATTTATTAAGCCAGACAGTAAACACAGGGTTAAGAACCTGTGCTTTGGAGTGAGACAAATCTGAGTTCAAAAATCTCAGTACTACACTTCTGGGAATATACCCCCAAATAACTGAAAGCAGGAATTTGAGGCCAGGCGCGGTGGCTCACATCTGTAATCCCAACACTTTGGGAGGCTGAGGCTGGTGGATCACCTGAGATCAGGAGTTCAAGACCAGCCTGGCCAACATGGCAAGCATCTGTCTCTACTAAAAATACAAAAATTAGCCAGGCATGGTGGCGCATGCCTGTGGTCCCAGCTACTTGGGAGGCTGAGGCAGGAGAATCGCTTGAACCTGGGAGGCAAAGGTTACAGTGAGCTGAGATCATGTCACTGCACTCCAGCCTGGGTAACAGAGCAAGATTAAAAAACAAACAAACAAACAAAAACAAAGAAAACCCCAAAAAACAGGGATTTGAACAGATATTTGTACACCCATGTTCATAGCAACACAATATTATTCACAATAACCAAAAAGTGGAAGCAACTAAAGTGTCTATTGATAGGTGAATGAATAAACAAAATATGGCATGTACATGCAATGAAATATTATTCAGTCTTAAAGAAGAAATTCTGACACGTGCTACTATACGAATGAAACTTGAGGACATTATGCTAAGTGAAATAAATCAGTCACAAAAAGACAAATACTGTATGATTCCACTTATGTGACACCCCTTGAGTAGTCAAATTCATAGAGACAGGAAGTAGAATGGTAAATACCCGGGCCTGGGGGAGGGGAGGAATGAGGATTTGGTGTTTAAAGGGTACAGTTTCAGTTTGGAAAGATGAAAAAATTCTATAGATGAACGGTAGTGATACTTGCACAACAATCAAATGTACTTAATGCCACTGAACTGTATACTTAAAAATGGTTAAAGTGGCAAATTCTATGTTATGTACATTTTACCATAATACAGAAATCTCATTACTAGCTGTGTGACCTTAAGCAAATTACTTCACCTCTCTGTGCTTCGGTCTCCTTATGACATGGGACTAGTGTAGCATTCACCTAAAAGGGTTGTAGTGAAGATTAAAAAACAAGATGCAACAAGGCTCTTAGCACAGGTGCCTGCACATTAAAAGGGCTCACTGAATGCTGTCTTAAGACAAGCAAGTAGCATCTCACATGCAATCTGATTTTTCTTTTCTTTCTTTCTTTTTTTTTTTTTGAGACAGAGTCTTGCTCTGTCGCCCAGGCTGGAGTGCAGTGGCGCGATCTCCACTCACTGCACGCTCTGGCCCCCAGGTTCATGCCATTCTCCTGCCTCAGCTTCCTGAGTAGCTGGGACTACAGGCGCCCGCCACCATGCCCAGCTAATTTTTTTGTATTTTTAGTAGAGACGGGGTTTCACCGTGTTTGCCAGGATGGTCTCGATCTCCTGACCTCGTGATCCACCTGCCTTGGCCTGCAAAAGTGCTGGGATTACAGGCATAAGCCACTGTGCCCGGCCAATGCAATCTGATTTTTCACAACAAGCAATAGGAGCGTCATTCACGTGCACTGTCACTGTCCAGAGCTGTGTGTGATATGGGAGTCATGTGTACTGGGCTCCAGTTATACCAAACGGAAAATTTTGTTTTAAACTCCTAAAATAAAATAACTCTTCATCTTGGCTGGGTGCGATGGCTCATGCCTGTAATCCCAACTACTTGGGAGGCTGAGGCAGGAGAATTGCTTGAACCCAGGAGGAGGTTGCAGTGAGCCTAGATTGCACCATTTCACTTCAGCCTGGGCAACAAGAGTGAAACTCCATCTCAAAAATAAATAAAAATAAATAAATAAATAAAACAACCTAACTCCTCATCTTAACTGGTTTTATTGTTTCCTGCTGGAACTGTTAATCCCCCCTGTGCTCAGCACGTGGAACAAAATGCAGTGGTACCTGGACAAAGTATTTTACTTCTCTTGGGCCCAGTCTCCCCACTGATGAAGTGAATTGGATGAAATCAGTGGTTACTGAAAACTGGAGTGAAGACTGGTTTGAGAGCTGATGTCACTCTAGCAGCTTGTTAAAAATATAGATTTCTGGGCTCCCTGAGGGGCTACTGCTGAGGTCATCGGGGGTGGGGGACTACACTGGCATTCAGCAAGCTCCCCCAGGTGATTCTAATTAGTAGCCAGGTGTTGGGTCTGCCTGATTAAGCAGACTCCAAAGACTTCAGCAGTGCTTACAGCCTGTTCTCAATCTTGGCCCCATCTGAGAATCACCTGGGAAGCTTTGAAAGATGCCTTTTTCCAGGTTCTACTCCCAGAGGCTGATTTGATGAGTCTGTGATGGGTCCCAGGCACAGGAAGTTTAAGTGAGTCCCCAGGTGATTCTAACTTGCAGCTGGCATTGAGAACAATTCTGGAAGGGCGGTTCTCACCCCTGAGCACACATCAGAATCAGCTGGAGGGCATGCAAAGCCACAGGTGGCTGGGTCCCCCCTCAAGTTTCTGATTCAGTAGGTCTGGGGTACAGCCTGAAAATGTACCTTTCCGACAAGTTCCCTGATGTTGCTGGATTGGACAGCCACTGTTCTAGAACCTTAGAAGGTGTACCTTAGACCAGCAGCAGAGACATCACCTGGGAGCTTGTTAGAAAAGCCAAACAGGGCCCATCCCAGCCTGTGGAATTGGAGTCTGTGATGTGAGTCATATGCACATGAGAGTCTAAGAAGCACTGTTTGAGAACTCTGCCTTTGAAACTTCTGGGCTCCTACTTTCCTTGTTCTGGAGGGGAGGTGGAAGGCATCTTTTCTAAGGCAGGAAGCAAGACCTTGGCAGAGGCCAGCGGCTTAGCCCTGAGAGAACTGGCCCAGCACCCACTCTCTGCCCTGCCTCTGTGTTTGCCAAGGAAAAGCCTCCCCGGCTTCAGCGCTCCTGTGTGCGCACTGCGCGAGAATGAGATTGATTACCTTGGCATGGTTGTAAATATCCACACAGTTGTCGGTATTGATGCTTTTCGCACAGATAATCTCACAGTGTCGCTGCAAAGCCTCCAGCTGGAAAAACTTAGCAGCAGACAGAAGCTAAAAATCACAAAAAGAGTCTGTTAGAGGCTGGGAGGTGGATGGAAAGGAGGTAACAATAAGGAACTATAGTGGTGAGACAGTCCTCATCTTCACCTTCCACAGCAGTGTCACAGGTAGGGGACGGGAAATGATGCACAAAGGTAACACTAGAGGAAAAGGACAAAGATAGGATTCCACTGTGGGGGAAGACGGGGGAGCGGGAGGGGGAGGGGAGGACCAAGCAAACTCAATTCATACCCATCACAGCAGGCGGTCAACCCAAAATGCCCAAAATTGTTATGTCCAGAAATAAGGGTGAAAATCAGGGTATTATCAGCAAGATGGATATCAAGGTGTCTCACTCTGTTGTCCAGGTCTCCACTCAAATGTCACTTCCTCAGAGGAGCCTCCCTCTATCCCATCTGTCCTCCTTTCCTCCTTGCCCTGTCTCACTCCTCAGAGTCACAGCACACCAGATGTGACGTCATGTCTGCCTCCCTCAATAGAGTCCAGGAGGGCAGGGATCTGTGTCGGTTTTCATCGCTGCTGTAACCTGGCCCTGAGCACGGTGCCGGCCTCGGAGATGCTCGACAGATGTGTGTTGAGAGAACGACAGGCTTTTGGGAGGGGAAAGAGCTAAGAGCAAGAGTTCAAAGGACTGGTTTTGGGAACGGGGACTGGAGGGAGGGCAGGGTGGGCCCGGGCAGCTGCTTTGTATTCAAAACTCTTCTATATGATTGAAATGATTTAAATGTACATTCCTTATTTTTAGTTAAAATTATTTTTATTTTTATTTTTGTTAAGGCTAGACAAATGAAGCAGTGGGAGTGGAGAAGGAATACAGAAATCCATAACTGGTTGTGATCAGTTAGTTGTAAACAGCCGTGTGCAGTGGCTCATGCCTGTAATCCCAACACTTTGGGAGGCTGAGGTCAGGAGTTCGAGACCATCTGGCCAACATGGTGAAACCCCGTCTCTACTAAAAATACAACAAATTAGCTGGGTGTGGTGGCAGGTGCCTGTAATCCTAGCTACTCGGGAGGCCGAGGCAGGAGAATGGTGTGAACCCAGGAGGCAGAGGTTGCAGTGAGCCGAAATTGCACCACTGCACTCCAGCCTGGGGGCAGAGTGAGACTGTTTCACACACACACAAAAATTAGTTGTAAACACCAGCGCACTTTTGTTTACAAATAAGCCCACATCCTCGAGACTAAAACCATCAGAGGAGTAGTCCAGGGAGACAAGAGAGTCACTGTGTGTCCATGTGTGTGTTTGGGTGGGGAGAGAGTGACCACGGAAGGTTTCACAGAATAGGAAGAAAGGATAAGTGGGCCTGCAGTGAATACATAGTCCTATTGGCGATCACTGTGTGCCAGGCACTGTTCTAAGCACCTTAGCATATTTTAAGATCCTCTAAAAAACCCAGTGAGGTAGATAGTTATCCCCATTTTATGGGTAAGGAAGCTGAGGATATGAGGTTAAATAACTTGTCCACAGTCACACAGCTCAGAAGCAGTGGAGCCTGGATTTAGACTAGTCTGGCCCAGCTTCCGTGTTGTAACCACTGTGTGAGGTCTGCTCTTGAACAGTTGATTGTGTCCTGACATCTCTCATCAGCCAGGTACCCCCCAGACGTCAGATAACTGACCGAGATCCTGGCTCTTTTGCTGAGGATTAATTGGGGGTGATTTTTGGCTTCTGGTTCAAAGCTCCCAGTTTCAATTAGGAAAATGAACAAGATTTCCACTTTTGGCAAGGAACAGGGGAAAATCTTGGCTTTGGACAAAAGCAGGCAGAAACAAGACTCCTAGACAGGCGGGGCTAGAACCAGTTGAATTACAAGAGGCAGACAGGGGGCTGGGGAGAGTGAAGGAAGCAGGCGTGGGCTTCATGACTGTGGGATGCTCAGTTTGAGGAAAGCCAGGAGGAGACTGTAATCTGCCCTCAGCTTCTATATCTTGGAAGAACAGACAGTGTTGTGATTTGAGGGATGTTTTTAGGGGATATAATTCTTTTATTAGTGACAAGGGAGAAGACGTCATCTAGGATATTTCCTGATGATATCACTATTAACGCCTCAGCTGTAGCCTCAGACTTTTCAGTCAAATTCCTTCCCTTCCCTGCCCCCTTACCACCAATGCCAGTTAAAATTGGGTTTCACTCAGTGGCTACTAAAAGCAGTCAGGCAAGCAAGTGCACTAGCACCCCAGCCTGCCAGGGAAGGTCTCTGATGAGAAGCCCTTCCTGTTTGGGAGGACTGAGGAGTCAGGAAGGAACAAGAGCCCCAAGTCTTCATCCAAATGAAAACCCAACACGGGTCCTTCCAGACACTTCCATGCAGGCTGGTGACCCGAGTTTACAGAAGTGCCACTCACCCAAGGGACCTATGATAGCCAACACCACAATGGATCCCTTACCTCCATGATCTCATTGTTTTTAATGAGCAGTGACTCTGGGCCACCATAGTAGAGATACTGCATAACCAGCTGGAAGAAAACACAGAGAACAGTGTCAACAGCAAAGACGCATCATCTCAAAGCCATTCGGTGGATGCCCCAACTCAGGCTTAGTTCCTGAGACCTCTAGGACATCCATTCCAAATGGTTGCCCATTTCCATGTCACCAGTGACCAAGAGCTCACTACCTTAAGGGGAGAAGACTGCCCATTTTGAACAGTTTCATCAGTCAGATAGTTTGATACCTGTTGAAACTTGTCTCCATATGTTTTCCCACCCCCAGTTCCATGCCCACCCCCAAGACCAAACTAAACAACCCTAAGCTGCTGCTCCTCATGACGGCTTTTCCATCTACTCATGATAATCACGGGGTCTTCTCCCACCTCCCGCCCCAGTCATGCTGCGCGGAACTGCTGTACACGTGGCATGGCTTTAAGAACCTGCACCAGAGGGTTGTTCCCCTGCGAACATGGCCCAGTTTGACTCAAAGCCTCCTGTTGAAGTCCCAGAGGGTGACTCTGGGATGCCACAGGGCCACCTGCTCCTTATTACAATGTGCCTAGCTCCATGGTGAAGCCATGAGGGGTCCAGGGTTTCTGTGTATCACTAACGATGTCAATGGCCCTAGTCGGGATGTTCTTTATTCATGTGACTCACGATGTCCAAACAGCAGGCAAAACTTCCAGAGCTTTGCAAACTGGTGTCCCTTGAATGGAATGGGGCCCGTGGATGTATCTGACTTTGCTATCTTATCTCCTAGGACAACTGGGTGTTAATTTTTTAGGTGGTTTGTCCCAGTCTCCTCTACTTCCTATTGTCTTTGTGTGTGTGTGTGTGTGTGTGTGTGTGTGTGTGGAGATGGGGTCTTGCTCTGTCACGCAGGCTGGAGTGCAGTGGCGCGATCTTGGCTCACTGCAACCTCCACCTCCCGGGTTCAAGCAATTCTCCTGCCTCAGCCTCCCAAGTAGCTGGGACTACAGGTGCACGCTGCCACGCCCGGCTAGTTTTTTGTATTTTAGTAGAGACGGGGTTTCTCTGTGTTGCCTAGGCTGGTCTTGAACTACTGAGCTCAGGCAATCTGTCCACCTCGGCCTCCCAAAGTGCCAGGATTACAGGCATGAGCCACTGTGCCCGGCCCCTATTGTCTTCTACCTGTATGTTTGACAAACTCACTTTACCTCCCTGGCTCTAAGGCAGCTGTGTGGGCAAAATCTACGGACTGGTTACCTCCCTTTTTTGGGTACTTGTAAAATGAGCCTGGACTGGGTTGTCCTCAATGGTCCCTTCAGTCCCTTCAGTCTGTGACCAATATAGGACACTAAGTACAATAAGCCTGGAATTGGGCTGCCTCAGTTTCTGATCTGGCTCTGCCACTTAAAAGCTGGGGGACCTGAATTAAGTTAGGCTCTGTGTGTCTCAGTTTCGTATCTGTGAAGTGGGGATAATGTTACCTGCCTCATGGAATTGTGATGAAGACTAAATGAGTAACTGCATAGAACAGGCCTAGCAGGGGCCTGGCACATAGCAAGTCCTCTGCAAATGTCAGCTCTTGAATTTTCTCTGAGGCTGAAAAATCTTTTCCCTTGTTTCTGCTACATGCCGCCTTGTTCTCACCCAGGCCATCTGAAAGTCTTTGCGACTGGTCTCAGACTGCTTTTCGCATGTGTGTTTAAGTTATTTTAAAAATACTGTTTATAGCTTTATTGAAATTCTTATTTATCATTATTATTTTAGACAGGGTCTCATTCTGTCACTCAGGCTGGAGTACAGAGGTGTGGTCACAGCTCACTGTAACCTCAAACTTCTGGTCTCAAGCAATCCCCCCACCTCAGCCTCCCAAGTAGCTAGGACTACAGGCACGCACCACCGTGCCTGGCTAATGTTTTAATTTATTTATTTTTAGTTTGAGACAGGGCCTCACTCTGTCACCCAGGCTGGAGTGCAGTGGTGTGATCATAGCTTACTGCAACCTCTGCCTCCCAGGCTCAAGCAATCCTTCCACTTCAGCCTCCTGAGTAGCTGGGACTACAGGTGTGTACCACCACACCTGGCTAATTTTTGTATTTTTTGTAGAGACGGGATTTCGCTATGTTGCCCAGGCTGGTCTTGAACTCTTGAGCTCAAGTGATCTTCCTCCCTTGGGCCTTCCAAAGCACTGGGATTACAAGTGTGAGCCACCATGCCTGGCCAAAAGTTGCCTTTTATGCTCGGACCACTCAACCGCTTGCCTGCATCAGAACCTCCCACCCTCTCTTCTAGTCCTGTGCTTTTGCCCACACTGTTCCCTCTGCTAGGATGCCCTCCCCTTCTTCTGTCCACTGAGCTCCGCCCGCTCCTTCTGGATCTAGTCAGCGGTCATCTGCAGTGGGGCGCCTCCTCAGATCTCCACCCCACCACAGGTCACATCAGGCAATCGTGCATCATCCTCCACTGCAGTGTTGTTTCTCACTAGAGTCAGAGGGCACAACAAGGTCTTGCCCACCGCTGTATCCCAGGGCTTGGCACACAGCAAGCAAACAGACTGCAGTGTGTACACCCTACCCATAAACACGAATCCTCGCCTGTCTGTGTTTGAGTCTCCCACATACCGGCTTTGGGCTCTTGTGACCATCTGCTTGTCGCAGAGATGGTGGTGGCGTCTGAGAATTTGTGCAATAACACAGCATTGTTTACCCTCCCCTCTCCCACCCTGATGGGTCATAAGCATTTAAAATATCAAGTCAGCAAATGTTGGGATTGGGCCTTATTAAAATCAATTTATTCTCCTAGCAGTTTTCATTTACAAAGGCTAAACAAATAACAATAAGAGCCTTAAGAATGACCGCCCTGAACATTTATAAAGCATTTCTCTAGCACGTGGTCTCCTATATTCCAGGTGGGGCTGCTGACTTGAAACGCTGCTCCTTAGTGGACTGAGATCCCGGGGCTAATGGAATTTAAATTGGGCTGGCCTAGGCCTCCTTCAAACTCTGCCGGCACAAGCCTTTCTGCAAGGGGGTGAAACAAACGCTTATTAGGCTAATGGGCCTGTTTGTGGAGTTGTTTTTCTTGGCAGCTGCCAACCTGCATGAAGCAGGGATTCAAATGGCACCCACAGCTTCGCGGAGGCCCCCACTTCCAGGTGCAGCCTCAGCTGCGTCCGGCCCTTGCCGGCGCGTGATGTTAAACAGACTTGGGGGAGGAGACCCGAAGCAGGCTCATTTACTAAAATTCTTCTGTCAGCATGGACTGAAGTAAGCCGGCCCCTGGGAGCCTCCTGCTGGGTCGCATTCAGCCCTCCTTGGCCTATTTCAAGCCACACATGAGGCTTTTCTTCTTTTACGGGGAAAGGGCGGGCACACGGAAAAGTCCCCGGGTCCTGTTAAATTTTCCCTTCCCATTACAGTAACGCGAGTCTAATGTGGCCAGGAAACCTTCCCCCGTCAAAAGCAATTACAGGCCTCGGGATTCCTCCGGGGACTGCCGTTTCCCATGGAGGTCTCGTTCAGTGAGGCCGCTTGGCAAACATTTATTGAGCGCCTACTACGAGCCAAGTTCTTATTACAGGAACCTCCCCAGTTAGTCCCAGGCTTCACAGTGTAAGCTCCCCCTTCATGAGCACTGGGGGAACACGCATTTTCCAGCTTCCAGCTCATGCTCCAGACAAATGGGCCGAAAGATTCTTTCCTCAGGGCTGGGTGAGTTTAGCGGGGGGCCCAGGTGCCCACAGAAGGGAGGATTTAAGAGAACAGGTCTGGGAGTCAGCCAGGCCTGGGTTTGAACCTCAGCTCTGCTAGGAGCAGCAGCGGGAACCTGGACCACTTACTCCGCCTCTCTGAATGCATGCCCTTGTCTGTAAGGTGGGGATTATGGCTACCTCGCAGGGCAGCTGGAAGGATGAAATAAGGTGAGGGGCAGCAGTGGTTCTCAGAGACAGGTCCCAGAGCAGCAGCAGAAGCACCTGGGTTCTTGTTAGAAATGTGAATTCTGGGCCAGACGCAGTGGCTCACGCCTGTAATCCCAGCACTTTGGGAGGCCAAGGCGGGCGGATCACCTGAGGTCAGGAGTTCGAGACCAGCCTGGCCGACATGGAAAAACCCCGTCTCTACTAAAAATACAAAAAGAATTAGCCAAGCGGCACCTGTTATCCTAGCTACTCAGGAGGCTGAGGCAGGAGAATCACTTGAACCCGGGAGGCGGAGGTTGCAGTAAGCCGAGATTGCGCCATTGCACTCCAGCCTGGGCAACAAGGGCAAAACTCTTCTCAAAAAAAAAAAAAAAAAAGTGAATTTTGACATGGTGCATATGTGCCATGGAATACTATGCAGCCATAAAGAATGAGATCATGTCCTTGGTGGCAACATGGATGGAGCTGGAGACCTGAACTTATGCATCTCATGCCTGTAATCCAGCTTCATCCATGTACTGCATCCATGTTCTCACTTATAAGTGGGGGCCAAACATTGAGTACACATGGACACAAAGAAGGGAACAATAGCCACCAGGGCCTGCTTGAGGGTAAAGGGTGGGAGGAGGGTGCTATGCTTATTAACTGGGTGACAAAATAATCAGAACACCAAACCCCCATGACACACAATTTAACGAACTTGCGCGTGTGCCCCTGAAACTAAAGGTTAAAATGTGAATTTTCACACCTGCAGAATCAGAAACTCTGGGGTGGGGTCTAGGAATCTGCATTTTAAAATGTTCTCTGTGTTTTAACAAGCACCCCACCCTTCTCCAGGTATTCTGAGAGCTGCTAATGTGTAAGAAATTCTGTAACTGAGAGCACAGGTTCTCCAACTTGGCTGTACTTTGGGATACCGGGAGAAGGTGGGGGAGACCGCAAAATGCTGATGCCTGGGCCCCACTGCTAGATTCTGATTTAATTGGTCTGATGTATAGCCTGGGCATTGGGAATTGTCAAAGCTCCCAGGTGATTCTAATGTGCAGCTGAGGTTCAGAACCACTGGCTTCGAGCCTTACACACAGTGCTCAAGATGTGAGAACTGTTCTTACTCTCAGCACATTCCCATTTAGGAAGGGTATTCTAGAACAGTGTCCCCACGCTTTGCTACCAGGAAGGCTGGGTTCAAATCCTGGCTCTATCGCTAACTAGAACTAAGACTTTGGACGCATCATTTAGCTTCTCTGGGCCTCAGTTTCTTCATCTACAAAAATGGAGATAATGCCACACGTAGTAGCTCATGCTTGTAATCCCAGCACTTTGGGAGGCCAACCAAGGTGGGTGAATTGGTTGAGCTCAGGAGTTTGAGACCAGCCTGGGCAACATGGCAAAACCCAATCTCTATAAAAAGTACAAAAATTAGCTGGGTGTGATGAAATACTTCTGTACTCCCAGCTACTCAGGAGGCTGAGGTGGGAGGATGGCTTGAACCCAGAAGGTGGAGGTTGCCGTGAGCCAAGATTGTGCCACTACACACCAACCTGGACAACAGAGCCAGACCCTCTCTCTCTCTCTCAACAAAAAAAAAAAAAAAAAAGGAATAACAATCCAGATAACACGTGTAAGCACAGATCAGTGCTTCACTACTCATGGCTCCACAAACATTTCCTCATCACCCTCCAAAGCAAAGCCACGGCTGCATGGAACCCAGCTTTCCAACCCAACAGCTGCCATTCAGGAAAGGGCTATGACCACTTTGCTCTCAGTAGAAAATGGTGGGGAGGGCCTAGGCTGAGGGGACATGGGCACTTGGATGTCTGGAGTATGCCAACTCCCCAGGCCCACCTTGGGGCTCCAGCCTCCTCACTACTCTCCTGACCTCAGGGGGACAGCTCACCCAGGCTTATCTTATCTTTGGAAACCTTTTTTTTTTTTTTTTTTTTTTTTGAGATAGGGTCTTGTTCTGTTGCTCAGGCTGGAGTGCAGTGGTGCGATTATGGCTCACTGCGCCTTGACATCTCAGGTTCAAGTGATCCTCCAGCCTCAGCCTCCTGAGTAACTGGGAGTACAGGTGTGTGTGACCACGCCCGGCTAATTTTTGTATTTTTAATAGACAGGGTTTTGCCATGTTGCTCAGGCTGGTCTAGAACTCCTGGGCTTAAGTGATCCTCCCACCTCAGCCCACATTGGCCTCCCAAAGTGCTGGGATTACAGGCATTCTATAAACTCTATCCCCAGGTCACCCACATTGTCTTATGAACCCTGGAAGATGGGAAGACAGCCTGGCAGGATCAAGGGGACTACACAGCCTTCATGTGCCTGGAGGGTCTTGGAGCTGTAGAAATACAGGTGCAAAGCCGGCTGGGGAGTTGAGTGAATTTCTATTAGCTGCAAGAACGTTGTTGCAGAGCAGGATTTATGAATCAGGCATAATTGAAGGAAGGTGGAAAAGCGAAAAAAGCTGCGGTGCTCCTCAGAAAAACCACATAAACCAAAACTCATTGTTCATGGCATGAACTCCCCCCAAACAGAAGGAGAAATGGTCATGTCATCTGGCCTTGGACCAGGAAGCCTTCCTTTCCTAATTGGGGTAGATTTAGACTAATGCTAAAATGATACAAATTCCCTAAAGTACAGCAGCTCCTGATGACGCTGAGCTCAACCAAAGTTTTGGGACTTCGCACATGCTGTTCTCTTTGTCTGGAATGTTCTAACCAACTTTCTTGAGCCCTATCCTTCCTGTGGCTCACCAACTTCTCAGTCTTGGATGTTTTAGCTCATAAGACCTCATCCAAGAGGTCTTCTCTATTTCCCCTGGTCTGAGTTGCTGCAGCATGTTGGCTCACGCCTCGAGTACTCTACTGTATACTGTAATTGACCAATTACTCAGTCACTGTCCCCGCCCCCCACAGACTCTGAGTCCCCAGGAGAGGACATCCTTTATCCTTGTGTCCCCAGCCCTTAGCACAGTGTCAGGCATAGCAGGCACTCAGTTAATGCTGCAGGGATGAATGGATGGAAACGGAAGGGGCACTGTGAGGAGGGGCCGGGAGTTCAGGAGACTGACAGCTCATTCCAAGGACTTCTCCAAGTGGCCAATCCTCAGGCTGAGGATCTGAGGCAACCACCTGTGCCCTGTGCCAACCAGCACAGAGGCCAGGCCACACCAGGGGCTCACCTGAAAGATGGAGTATTTCACATAACCAATCTCTATGCAGGTGCCATCATTTGTCGGCTTGCTGGAGAGGAGTGCTTTGAACCTGAACAAGGACATAAAAAAGAGATAAAAAAGACTCACACACAAATCCATGGCTCACAAAAAACTCTGCTCTCCTGACAATGGAAATACCTTGTTTCTTCCCCTGCAAATCTGAAATATAGCACTGGTATATCCTTACATTTCTTAATTTAAACCCTCCTATTATACCGTAATCTAATTTGAAGTTAAAACTCTAAAGTTAAAAAACAGTGTTTTCAACAATTACATTCTTTCTCCAACTGGTGATTGGAAAAGAATGAGTGCCTGTTAAACCCTGTCCATCTTTCAGGGCCTGTCACGTGGCCGCCACCTTCATGGCATCTCTCCTGAGCCTAGGGCTATGGCTTCACTCCCTCCCCTCGGGTGCCCATGGAACACATTTTGCTCCATGAGGGCAGGGACTTCAGTGGTTTCTGTCTTTGCTACATCCCCACATCCTGTCCCAGTATGAACCTGACACATTGTAGATATTTAATCAATGTTTGTTGACTACCTAATCATCTCCCTTATGGGTGACTTTCTGTCTTGGGTTTTCAATGCACTTTCCTGCCCATCAACTAAACTAAAAGCTCTTTGTGGGTAGAGATCTTATCAATGGAACACATGGATAATGTTTAAGAATAAGCTGATATGTGTCTGTTTTTTTAAACTTATTTTTTGAAATTATAGATTTACAGAAGAGTTGCAAAGATAATACAGAGAGTTCCTGTTTACCCCTCACCCAGCTTCCCCTAATGTTAACATGTTACACAGCCATGGTACCTTTGTCAAAACTAAGAATATAACATTGGTACAATATTGATCTGGTTTGTCTATGCTGTCATGACTGAAAACTATGCAAGGGAAAACAAATTTTTCTTGCAGTGGCAAAGCAGACATCTGGGGTTTGTGTTTGGTTTTGGTGGGGGGACTGGAGATTCCTGGATGCTTTTAGAAATGCAGGGAGTGCTGGTCACACACATTCTCTTAGCAAACTTCCTGGAAGGAAGTTCCATTTCTGGGTTCCCAGTGTCCTTACCCAACTCAGGGACCCCCTGCTCGCCACCCAGCTGGGACGCTTGGTATTCTTCATTTCAGCATCATTCTCTCCTGCCTCCTCCTCATTTCAGCATCAATCTCTCCTCCGCCCCAGCCTCACTGCTCCCTGTTCAGGTCCCTGGACAATGTGGTTCTAAACTGTCAACCCAATCTCAACTCAAAATGAGAAGAAAGGGCAGTTGCAGAGCTGGCATAGAGGGTGAGCAGTTCTTCCTATTGTTACATGATACTACTGTCTGTTAACTCCACAGTTAGGGAAAAGTAAAGTCAGGATCTGTGAATTTCAGTGGCTTATGCCAAAGTCTGTTCCCTGACATTTGGAGAGTGGCTGTCTCAAGGCTCCTGTGTGTGGGGGTCTCAGGTTGTTCACTGCACAAGGCCACCTAGCCGAGGGAGCCAAAATCCAATCCATGTTCTGCTCCCAAAGCTCGGCCCCCCTGGCCCCTTTATGTGCCCAGAGGAGAGGGCCCCTTGTTCTAGGTTGTTTATGCTAGCAGCTTCCCTGTACTCTTGAATTCTTGATTTTGTGAAGATGACCAGCCAGTCCGGCGAAGAGACCACCAAAATTGAACTTCAAAAAATAGTAATAGCAACAGCCAAAGTCATAATGCAGCTGCTTTCAAAACCGATGATACGTACCTTGGAGAGGCTGTAAATAACAGCACTTTGTGAGCATAAAATGGTCTTCCTTCTACCAGAAATGTAACATCAGACATTTCTTTATTGTTAAGAAAATGAGGATCTGGAATAGGAAAGGGAAAAAAAGGTAGCTTTAGTGGAAAAAAGGATGAAGTTTAGATTTATCTTGTAGAAAGTGCAAATAAGAGTGAGCAAGGAAATCTTGGTGATAAAATACTCTTTGGCAAGACAGCAACCAAACAGCAGACAGGACTAATCAGAGGAACAGTCAAGTCACTGAAATGCAGTTTTTCATAGGAAATCCTTATAGCTTATTTGTGATTAAAAGTAGCATTTCCCCAGAGAAGACTCACCTATAGTCACCCACCCACCTTGTCTCTAAGAATGCCACTCATCCCCACTTCTGCTGCTCTCTCTCAGGGCTCAGCGCCCTCCCTGCCCAATGGAAGTGGTTTAGAAGAGCTGTCCCCTCACCACTGCATTCCAGGTGATTTAAGTCCAAGCCTTTCCCTATCAGGGTCAGTGACAAATGAGCCTGTTCCCTTCCCTCATTTTCTAGAATAAAGAAGATTTAGCTACTACTTACTGAGCACTTATGATATGCAACCTGGTTGCACATTATCCCTACTGTGCAGTTGAAGAAACTGAGGCACACAGAATTTACAGTGACTTGTTCAAGCTAGTGACTGGTGGAGAAGCTACAATTTGAACTTGGACATTTTGATAGGATGGCCTGCTTTGTTAAACACTAGGATCCTCCGATTTGCCTGTCATTTCAGCCCTTGAGACCTGAGGCTCCTGAAGGTGCCAGTCTGTCCTCAGCTCAGCACTTCTGTCTTGTTGAGAATATCCATCATCACCCCCTGTCCTCCTAAGTGTTTCCTGAATCTTCCATTTCCCTCTATTCCCTTTGATATTACCCTAGTTTGGGCCACATCCTCTCTTTCTGGGAACTCACAGGAGCCTCTGTTGGTCTCTCTGCCTCCACTCTTGGCCCCTCAATCTGATGACCCACCTCACTGCAGGAGCCATCCTTCCTAAAGCTAGCTCTGATCATGCCACTCCCCTCCTCTGCTATAAATCATTCAATAGCTCCCCATTGCTCCCAGGATAGAGTCTAAACGTCTTAATGAGGCCACTTGTGACTGGGCTCCACTGCCTTCTCTGGCTTCTCCCTGTCAAACTGTGTGTGTGCTTGAGCAATGGGTAGCTCTCAGTTCCCCATGAGTGCTACGTGCTCTCTCCCCTCTGGGGCTCTGCACACACTGTTCCTTTACCTAAAGCACCCTTCCAGCCCCTTCCAAACCTGGCTCATCCCTAGGTGGTCTTCAAGTTTCAGACATACTGATCAGACACCCTTGGTCAGTAAGCCTTGCCAGATTCCCCCACCTTCCCCAGACCCAGTAGCCCCAGCTGAGTTCCCACAGCATATGCACCCCTGCTGTAGCCTCATCATGCTATGATGTATCCATGTCTGTCCATTTCAAAGCCTTTCATCTGTGTCTAGTACGGAAAGGTGGTAAAGTGTAGTAAGAGTGTGGGCTCTGAGGCTAGAAATCTCAGCTCTGTAACCTTGGCAAGTTATTTAGCCAACCCATGCCTCAGTTTCTCCTTCTGTAAAATGGAAATTGTAATACCCATTATACTCCATCACAGAGTAGTGAGGAATAAACGAATGAGTGAATTTATGGAGAGCACTTAGCAAAGTGGCTGACAAATAAGTATCCCTCAATAAACTTGACCATTATACTATTAGTAGAGGTTCAATGGATGTTTTTCGAGTGAATGAAAGAACGCCTTGACTCCTGTTGCAGAAACTTGCTCTAGGAGGCTGCCGAGGACCCGGGGAACCTTCTTAGCCTGGAGGCCCCTTTGTTGTTGATGGTCCCTTCCCCAGGGGTTCAGGGGCTGTGCTGAAAAGAAACCCCACTGCTTCCTATGGCTGGATTTATGGGTTGTCCTAAACTATTGAGGGCAGGACCAAGCCCCTGTCTTCCTGGGGGCTGTGACCACTCAGCTGTTGGGCTCACCCTGGCTGACTGCACCTTGGGGCCCTGGTCTGGCTGCATTTTCCCCAGACTGCTGTAACTTGGACCCAGAATTTGCCTTCCAGACTGATTCTCTTCACTCAGACCCTGAACCCTGTGCTGCCCAGACGGTGGTCCTGGTGGTCCTCCACTCACCTTTCTCTGTCAGTACAGAGCTACCTCACTTCTTCTCATTTTTTAAAAAAAGGCTCTTACTTTAAAAATATTAGAAAAGTATAAACGGTAAAAATCACCTGTGTAATCCCACTTTCTTTAAACATTTTAATTAAAAAACTCCCCCCAGAACTTCTGAAATGATCCAGATAAAGGGAAAAGAGGCTGCAGGGGAGAAGGCCTGAGAGTTGACGAAAACTCATTTCTTCACTTGACTTTCTCTCTGCTCGGTAACCTGCCTCCCTCTGCTCACCTATCACACCCACTGTTCATCTCCAGCTAGTCCCCCATTCCTGCTTCCCAGACTGTTAATATCCTCTACTTTTACTTTCACCACTCTCTCCCAGAATTCATTGGGAGGGCAACAGGACACCATACCACACACACACACACACACACACACACACACACACACACACACACACAAAATCAGTGCTCTCCGATTTGCCACAGTCCCCACCACTCCCTATTGTCTAGCGCTGAATTCATTTCACTCGTTTATATCACCTGCCTGGTCCCACAGAGATGCCGGTTTGAGATCCTTGTCACTGATCATTCTTGTCTTTCCTTTAAAGCAGGTCCCTAAAGAACCACTATTTGGTGACCTTTAGTTATGCTAGCTTGAGCTGCTAGACTGAAGACACAAAATGTACCTGCTGTATATTCCATTTGTTAATAACTACATGATGCTTTTTCTTTTATATCATGAGCTTTGAGCCTCTCAGGTCTGCCTTTTCTTTTCTTCTTGGTGCCAACCCTTGGAATTCTAATGCTTGGGCTGAAAAACAGGCACTTAAAAACATTTTTTTTTTAAATTTTTTGAGATGGAGTCTCAATCTGTTGCCCAGGCTGGAGTGCAGTGGCATAATCTTGGTTCACTGCAACTTCCACCTCCTAGGTTCAAGTGATTCTCCTGCCTCAGCCTCCTGAGTAGCTGGGACTATAGGCATGCGCCATTGCGTCCGGATAATTTTTTGTATTTTTAGTAGAGACATGGTTTCACCATGTTGGCAAGGCTGGTCTCGAACTCCTGACCTTAAAAGTAATGACAAATAAATGAGTGAATTTATGAAGAGCACTTAGCAAAATGGCTGACACATGAGTATCCCTCAGTAAACATGACCATTATAGTAGATGCTCAATGGATGTTGATGGTATTTGATTTGCCTGCCTCAGCCTCCCAAAGTGCTGGGATTACAGGCGTGAGCCACCACGTCTGGCCCCAAACCAGAAACTTTTAACTGCTAGTGAAAGAAACCTCAGCAAATTCAGGAGGAGAAAATGTTCCCTCCCTTCCTGTAGCTAAGGGAAAGCAGATTTTATGCCATTGAAACCGACCTTGCAAAAGTTTGCTCTAAGGAGGGTGTCTTATGAGGCACCTAGACATCAGAGATTGTTGCTATGTCCTGGGAATGTACCCCTCACTCTCTAATGTTTGCTAATTTGACTGGTCTTTATAACGTGTTGCCCTGATAACATTTTAATTAATACCTGTTTTCTATAAGGGAGAAGTACTTGGGACTTGGGCACATCCCAGTTTTCCTCTACACATGGTCAGAAAGATAGACAGCCTTTGACTGAGCTGCTAAAATTTTCCATTTCAGCAAAAAGTTGTGTCTCATTTAAATTAACAAGTTATTCAAGATGGGAACAAAAATAACTTTAAAATAGTCCCATGAATTCAGCCTTTTAATTAATCTAAACTGGCTCATCCCTTTCAAATTTTGCTAAAGAGTAGAAATTTCAGTCTTCTATTACTCAGATGTCCTTCAATTTTCTTAGGAAAGGGAAACAGGAAGTAGGAAAAGTCCCCAACCTATCTAGGGAAAAAGAATCCTTTATCTTTAATATCTGATAAATCTCCAGGTAGCAGGGAGACAGGCCCTTGCAACAGAAGGCTCATGTTTCAGGCCTCAAAGCAGCCTAATATTCCTTCTCCTTTTTGTAGGTTGATCAACTCGGTTGCAACAGCCCCAGGATCCTCTGAAAGAACCTAGTGCCTGATGGAAAGGTTTCTTCTGAAAAATCTCAGAAGCTGGGACTGCAGAACGACAAAATTACAGCTTCCGGGCACACCTGTGTTCAAGTTCCAGCTTCACCCTCTACTGATATTGCAGCCATAATGTACTGATATTGCAGTCACAGTGCCTGCCTCTTGGGGTGGCCTGAAGATGACTTGAGATGGGGTAGGTCAAGTGCTTGGCTGGAGCCGGCACAGTGCACGCCTCCCAGAAGAGGTTATTGATACTCTCATGAGACTTATAAGCATCCAGCCTCTGCCGCTCAGGTATGTCCCCTCATGTTTTTATGGGAGTGTGTGTGTGTGTGTGTGTGTGTGTGTGGGTGGGTGGGGGGGGGGGGGTTGTTCCTCCCTTCTCCTAGTTTCCTGTAGAAGGATCTCCACTAGAGGAACAGCCCTGGCCCCTCACTGTCTCCTTCTCATTCCTTCTGAGTGAGGAAGAAGGACTTTTAGAGGGGAGAGTTTGGGGGACAGAGTTGCCACGTGCAGTGTGGACTTCTTTCAGGAGCCACCTGTGTGGGGGATGTGTATGGAATCAGGAGGCCTTTGGCAGCCCCCACTGTCTGTGTCTAGGGGAGAAAGTCCCTTTAACTGGCAAATCTCCTTGTCCACATTCCCAAGGTATGTTCTCCAGTGTCATCACATAATAAAGGAGAAATTCTGATCTCCCCCGGCCTGACTCCTGTACTGACCTTGTTTGCCCTTGAACCCCCTCCCTCCTGGCATTCCTTATGGCATTCTTTGGCTCCTCGTCCTTAAATCACAAAGCAGCAGCCAACACAGGCCTGGGGGAACCACTCACCCAAGCGCGAGGTCTGTTTCCGTTTGATTTCTGTGAGCTTGGGGATGGGGTAGGGCCCGTAGCAGTGTGTGAAGATGACGCACAGCTGCTGGCTGATCACTTCATTCTGCAGAAAAGAAAGAGGAGGTCATGATACAGGGGGCTGTGGCCAGCCTCAGTCAAGCTGTGCCCCAGGAATGCGTCCCTCCAGGTGATAAGAGCTCACACATTTACTGCAGGCCACAGGAGAAATCCCCTGGGGTAGCACAGAAGTCGTTTGCATTCATGGGTCCTGGATTTACTTGCTCTGTTTTGTCCACTGTCTATTTCTAGTGGGTTCACTGGTGAAGCTTAAGAAATTCTTCTCTCTGGCCCTCATGATTCGCTACCTACTGGAAAGCAGGTTTTTGTAGTTCATAGAGAATGGAAAATAAGTTTTTACCCCAAACCCACCTTTACCAGTACTCTAAAATTCTGGAAGCAGTGAATTATCCTGAAATTAGCAGGATTTCAGGAGAATTATCCTGAAATTAGCCCTTTTGATCCTGTGACTGTGTTCTCCATTAACGAGACAAACGCTCCTGATTCAGCTTTCTTGTGAACTTGATTCTGGTGCTGAGGCATTTCCGGACCCAGAAGTGCTCAGCTGAATCACTGGCTCCAAACAAAAGGTGGGAGGGAACTGGTTCTGCAACCCAAAACTACAGCTGCCCTTCAGTGCTGGGGACACACGCGCCTGCTTGTCCTTGACCCTCATCGTTCACGTTGACCTCTTCCCACTTTGCAGCCATTTCCGTTCATTAATCTCCCTCCAGCTTCAGGTGTATCGGAGGAAAAACGAAACAGAGCATTTTGTTTCTTTTTGTTGGACAAAGGGTGTTGAAACTAGGGGCTCAAAGGGGTTACATTGAAAAATGTTTACAATAGATTAAGGAAGAAAAGTAGGTTACAACACAGTTTGTACCATGTCTTTTTGGCAATAAAACCCTCTACAAATATATTTGGATTGACAGATATGTATAGAAAAAGATCTAAAAAAATAGAGTAGTTACCTTTGGGTGAGATGAGGATGTTTTTTCTTTTATTTATATTTTCTACAAGAAACAAGCATTGCTTTTGTGATAAAAACAATAAATATTCTTTTGAATTTTAAAAGATGGGTTTGGGGCCACTAGTGATGTGAGTGGTTCAAGCTGTTCTTAAATCTACCTACTTCATTGTGTTCCCGAGGCAGAAGCATACAGCTTGGCATACAAAAGAAAATCCAAACCCTTCAATTAAAGTGGGTAGATCACAGAAGGAACAGTGTCACCTCAGATGTGATTCACAGAGGCATAATCATAGTTGAAGGACAAAGAGACTCAACTTTCAATGACGAGAGGCTTTATAACCAAAGGGCATTCGGTGCTCCCCTCACTTAATACTCATAAAAATAACTGCCTGCCTATCGGCTTAATGCAGTTCTTCTCAAAGTGTGGTCCCTGGACCAGCATCACCTGGGAGCTTATTAGAAATGTAAATGCTTGGGCCTCGCCCCAGACCTTCTGACTTAAAAACCCTGGGAGTGAGGCCCAGGCATCTGCGTATTAACAAATTTTCTGGTGATACTGACATTCCCTTAAGTTTGAGAACCACAGGTTCCATGCACTGAAATTCTGTCATGGGTTCGACCTGGGCTGTGGGCTATAAATTTGTTTCCTCTGGCCTAAAGCCCTGCCACCCAAAACGTGCTCCATAGACCACAAGCAGTAGCATCCTCTGGGATCCTGTAAGAAATGCACACTCTCATTCAGGCCCACTGAATCAGAATCTGCATTTTTAACACACTCTGCAGGTGACTCCCATGCACATTCATGCTTGAGAAGCACTGTGTGGTAAGAATAATTATGGCCTCCTAGAAGATTGCATGCCCTAATAACCCCTGGGACTGGGACCATGAACACGTTACTTTACATGGCAAAAGCGACTTTGCAGGAGTAATTAAGGTTAGTGCTTTAGTCCATTAGGGCTGCTAACAAAATACTCTAAACTGGGTGGCTTATAAAGTGCAGAAATTTATTTCTCACTGTTCTGGAGGCTACGAAGTCTAAGATCAGCGTGCCCGCAGACTCGGTGTTTGGTGAGGGCCCACTTTCTCATAGATGGTGCCTTCTAGCTATGTCCTCACGTGGTAGAAGGGGTGCTGAGGCTCCTCTGGGGTGTCTTTTGTAGACCTACTCACCTCCCAAAGACACCACCTCCCAATATCACCACCTTGGGGGTTAGGACTTCAACATTTAAATTCTGGGGGGACAAACATTCAAGAGCATAGCAGTTCCTCATGAGTTGACCTTCAAATAGAGAGATTATCCTGGATTATCTGGGCGAGCCCAAAGTAATCACATGAGCCCTTAAAAGTAGAAGCAGAAAAGGACTTCAGACGGGAGGGGGGAGAACAAGATGACAAAGAGATCCCAGTCTGAGAAGGACTTGATGCTCTGTTGCTGGCTTGAAGATGGAGGGGCCACATGGCAAGCTCGTGAGGGGACTCAGGTAACCACACTAGGAGTTAAGTGTGACACCAACAGTCAGCAAGGAAGTAGGACCTCAGTCCTACAGCCACAAGGAACTGAACTCTACCCAAAAATCTCTGAAAGAGCTTGGAAGCAATTCTTCCCCAAAGCCCCCAGAAAGGAACACAATCCTGCTGACTCCTTGATTTTGCCCTTGAGATTCTAGGCAGAGAACCCAGCTGGGTCACACTGCACCCAGATTTCCAACCCAGAGAAGCCATGAGATAATAAACAGGTGTTGCCTTACGCCTCTGAATTATGGTCATTTGTTACTGCAGCAATAGAAAACTAACACATCTCATCTAAAGTTTACATCTATTGGACCACATTTCATCATCTCTGTGATCCAGAGTGCCAGACACATAGTGGACACGTGGTAAGTACTGGCTGGTCATAAAAAAGATAAGACCTGTTATCTGCAAAAATGCTTTGTACAGACTGTATTATGAAGGTTAGGGATGAGGTCTCACTCATCTACACCAGGGTGTGTCTCGTGCATCTTGCTGGTGAATCAGCTTCCTTCTAATCAACTCCGAGTGAAGCAATAAGAACCCATTTCCTGGACTCTTGTGCCCTTGAGAGAGGCATGTACAGTCTGTAGACTCTTTTGCGAGTTTTTCTTTTTTGGCGGACAGCGGTGGTGGTTTAACTCGATTCAGGAGGTATTGATTAAACATGGAAGAGGTGTCCTGCAGTGTGAAAGGCACTCTTTTGGGGCCACAGAAGCAGGCAAGGCAAGACCCCTCCTCTGCTGGAACTCACAGTTGACCTCTCTTTCTAACTTCAGTGTGTACTCTATCATCTGAGAATGTAAATATAAGGGCTGGCCATGCTTGTTCCAAATGGACAATCTTCAAATACGTAACAATGGTCAGGGGGAGGTGCAACTCCCCACTTTTTAGGTGAGGGCAGTGCATGCTCACTGCATTCCAAAGAGGACGGTATGGAAAAAGGGGAAGAGAGGAAGTTTACAGTAGAGAAACTCGACAAACACTGCCTCAGCCAGGTGGCTCAGGTCAACATCAATAGTGATAACTCACCTTGATGGAATGTGCCCTTGATAAGGTGTCTTTCTCTCCAGGGTTTCCCTCTGAAAAATCCATAACCCCAGTCTAATCATGAGAAAAACATCAGGCATATTCCACTAGAGGGGCAGCCTACACATGCTTGACCAGTGCTCCTCAAAACTTTCAAGGTCACCCCAAACAAGGAAAGTCTGAGAAACTGCCTCTATCGAGAGGAGCCTAAGAGATATGACAATGAAGTGTAATGTGGTACTCTGGATGGGATCCAGGAGCAGAATAAGACACCAGGTACGAACTAAGGAACTCTGGCTATTTCTCAAAGAACTAAAAATAGAGCTACCATTGGACCCAGAAATCCCATTACTGGGCATATTCCCAAAGGAAAAGAAATCACTCTACCCAAAAGACCCTACCTGCACTCACATGTTCATTGCAGCACTATTCACAACAGCAAAGACATGGAATCAACCAAGGTGTCCATCAGTGGTGCACTGGATAAAGAAAACATGGTAAATATACACCACGGACTACTATGCAGCCATAAAAATGAATGAAATCATGTCCTTTGCAGTAACAGGGATGCAGCTGGAGGCTATTATCCTAAGTGAATGAATGTAGAAACAGAAAACCAAATACCCCATGTTCTCACGTGTAAGTGGGAGCTGATCACTGGGTACACATGGAAATAAAGTTGGGAACAACAGACAATGGGGATCCAAAAGAGGTAGGAGAGAGAGAAGGAAGGAGGCAAGGGCTGAAAAGCTACCCATTGGGCCCTATGTTCACTATCTGGGTGATGGATTCAATTGAAGCCCAAACCTCAGCATCATGTATATCCATGTAACAAACCCACACATAAACCCTGTGAATCTAAAACAAAAACAAAAACAAAACCCTAAGGAACTCTGAATAAGGTCTGGATTTTAGCTCATAATAATGTATCAATATTGGTTCATTAATTATAACAAATGTACCATAGTAATATAGCCTATTAATCATAGGGAAAAGTGAGTGAGGGGGTATATGGGAACTCTCTGTACTATCTTCTCAATTTTTCTGTAGATCTAAAACTGGCCTAAAAAAATAAAATCTATTTTAAAAACCCGGTGTGGTGGTGCATGCCTATAGTCCCAGCTGCTTGGGAGGCCAAGGATTGCTTGAGCCCAGGAGCTCGGGGCCCGCCTAGGCAACATCATGAGACCCTGTCTTTAAATTTTTTTTTTTTTAATTGGGCATGGTGGTGTATGACTATGGTCCCAGCTACTCGGGAGGTTGAGGTGGGAGGATGGCTTGAGCCCAGGAGTTTGAGGCCAGCCTAGGCAACATGGCAAAACCCCACCTCTAAAAATAAATTTTAAAAACTTCCTACCATGGAAATATGATTATAATGGAAGCAGTAGAAGTTCAGAAGAGAGAAAGAGGGAGGGTGGAGGCTTTAACTGAACATCAGGGGGCTCCCTACACTTCATCCATTCATTCGCCAGAGGTTTAGGGAATGTTTCCCCACTCACTAAGCTACATATTCACTCATTCATTCATTCATTCATTCTCCAAATATTTATTGAGCGTCTACTAAATGCCAAGCACTGGCTGGTTCCCGGGAGCTGGACATTGTGCAGAGGATTAGGGTGCTACGCCGTGGTGGCACCAAAGATGCTGCCTTTTACGAGGCTTTCTAGCCGCTTCTTTTTCAAGGAACAGAGTCCTAAGAGAAAACTCCCCGCTGCATCCTTGAATCTGTCCATGTTTGTGGAGGTGTCTGCCCTGTGCCCTTCCCAGTGCTCCTCCTCCAGGCAGTGGAGCACCAGTGTCATCTGTCCTGGTTACCTGGGACCCAATACGATTCTGAACTCCAGGAGGGCCCTTTTGAGTGTGAGGGGTGGTGTCATTCGTATCAGGTGACTGCTGTCAGGGGGTGAGATCCATAGGTCAGACTGTGATGATAAGCTGGGTTATCCTATGGGCTTGGTAAGTCCTGGATCAAAACCCAAAGACAATGGAATGGAAGCAACCAAACTTGAGGCTTGCTCCATTCTGGAGGCGGGAATGAGTGGTGGTTGTGCTGGGTCAGATGCCTGGATTCTCTGAGCAGCACATTTAAGCACAGTGCTTTAGGCCAAAGGGATAACAGGCTGCAGTCTCAGGGCAGCAGGCCATTTGGTCTTCACATGCAGGGTCTGACCTGGGAGGCCAGGATGAGTCCAGGAGGGTGGGTGGGTGGGGGTGGGGCCAGGCCTGAGGACACAGTACCCGGTTAGTGCATGTTACTGGCATGCTGCTGGGTACTTGCCATTCAAGTCCCTCACAGAAAATTCTAGATGTGCACATGGAGTAAATTCAGGTCCTCTGGACTCAGAACTGTGTGGTCATACAAAAGAACTAAAGGGGAGTGAAGCAAAATTCTTTTTTTTTGAGACAGGGTCTCTCCCTGTTGCCCAGGCTGAAGTGCAATGGTGCAACCCCAGCTCACTGCAACCCTGACCTCCTGGGCTCAAGTGATCTTCCCACCTCAGCCTCCCAGGTAGGTGAGACTACAGGTGTGCACCACTGTGCCCAGCTAATTGTGTGTGTGTTAGTGTGTGTGTAGATGAGGTCTCACTATGTTGTCCAGGCTGGTCTTGAACTCCTGGGCTCAAGAGATCCTCCTGCCTCGGCCTCTCAAAGTGCGGGGATTACAGGCATGAGCCACCACGCCTGGCCCTGCAAAATTCTTAATAGCATAGTTACCAGGAAACTCTCTTGAGATGGAGTCCTGTGAATTTGGGGGGTGACATCTTTCCTCTTCTCCTTTGACTCCACTCTTCTCCTAAAAAGATGTGGAAATACTTCCTTTTCTTCTGAAAGGAGCACTAGGATTACTCCCAAAGGTCCTTTATAGGTGGCTCAGGCTGGAGTTCTATGTGGTGGTAAAAACATAAACAATGGGACCAGATGGAGGGGGTCCTAGTTCTGGCCCTTCACTCACTAGCTCTGTAACCTTGGCAAAGTTACTCAGCTTCTCTGGGCCTTGGTGTTCTTTTCCAAAGAGGATTAAAAATACTTGCTTGATGAGGTTGCTATGAGGGCTAAAAGAGAATGTATCACCATATGCTGTTAGGTTGAATGAAAGTGCTGCTATTTGACCATTTTTAACTCCTAAACAGCAATTTCCCATAGTTGAACCTCATCCCTTTTTTTAAGATGTCATAAAATTCATGTCAGATTTTAAGAAAAGAAAAAAAAAGCCCTCCTTATTAAATGTACACATCTATCTTCAGACCTGTTTCAAATGGAGAAATGCTCAAATGTGAAAAAAGCTGTGTCTCAGAATCAAGAGAAAGTAGAATTACTGTTACTTTCAGGGACACTGACAGCAAGCTCTCTATCTTAATCCATGTCAAGAAACTCACTTTGGCCAGGTGTGGTGGCTCACGCCTATAGTCTCAGCACTTTAGAAGGCTGAGGCGGGTGGATCACCTGAGGTCAGGAGTTCAAGACCAGCCTGACCAACATGGTAAAACCCTGTCTCTACTAAAAATACAAAAAATTAGCCAGGCATGGTGGCAGGCACCTGTTAATCTCAGCTACTCGGGAGGCTGAGGCATGAGAGTCGCTTGAACCTGGAAGGCAGAGGTTGCAGTGAGTGGAGATCGCCCCACTGTACTCCAGCCTGAGTGACAAGAGTGAAAGTCCATCTCCCTCCCCCACCCCCCAAAAAAAGACCCACCTCTACAGATGGCTCCCTTGTGGAGCAGGCTAGGCTGCGTTATGAGGAGTGAGCACACCTGGAAAGGTGGAGGCAGGTGGAGGGTGGGCTACCGGCCCCAGAAGGATCCCAGCAAGATCCTGAGGCCCTGAGTGCAGCACTCATCTTACTGCTAATTGTGCAGTCGCACATCTACTTTGATGTGTCCCTTCTACTCCCAGCAAGTGATGTAGGGTATCCACTTATGGTAGTAATATGTTTCAAACACATTTAAGAAAAAGATCAAGTAAATAATAAATTGCATCGATGGTATTTTTACCTATTTCATGCTTTCTTTAAGTAGTACTTTTTCCAGGTCTGGAAAAGATTCTGATAGCAGGATTCAGATGACTGGGTTGGGATATTCACTGGGCTAGATGATTTCCAAGGTTCCTCCCAATGCAGATGCTAGGGGCCCATGACTGCACCTGACTTGGGACCATCTTCCCACCAAAAGAAGTCACCATGGCTGCAGGCTATGTCTGCTTCTGCCCTTAAGGGGGATGAAGCTGTCATTTCACAGTGAGATGTGCACTGCAGGTAAAACCCTGAAACGGAGCAGAGTGACAGGGTGACCTCACAGTTAAGAGCATGGGTTTTGTGTCTGGGTCAGGATCCTGGCTCTGCAGGGTGACCCACTCTTGGGCCTCAGGGCTATCATCGCTAACATAGGAATAAAAATACAACTACCTGCTTCCCAGGAGCTGATGAGTAGAAAGTGCCTGGAATGGCACCTGGCACACAGTGGTCATTTTCATTAGATCCGTGTCCAGGCTTAAGTGCCTGGGGCAGGTCACTTCCTAAGCTCAGGTCCTGACCATAGAGAAAAAGGAGGCCAGAGGGATGGTGAAGAACTGAATGAGGAGAGGGGAGGGAGTGAAGAAATGAAACAAGGAGGTAAGAAAGACAGGCCCAATCAGTTGCTACACACAAACTTGTCCCTGGGGTCTATAAATTAAGAATTTTTAGCAAACTGTTTTACTAAATCTTATTTTCAAAGGTTTTGAATACACACTGTGACTTTCCTCTCTTAGATGGTTTGACTGCAGTTTTGTGTGGAACTGGGAACGTGTCAGTTGGCTTTCTGTTTTTAGAATTAAATTAATTTTAATTTTAATTTTTATTTTTAGAGATGGGGTCTTGTGATGTTGCCCAGGCTTGTCTCAAACTCCTGGACTCAAGTGATCCACCTGCCTTGGCCTCCCAAATCAGATGACTTCTTGAGCTATTTGATACTTTTGGCATTTGATCCTATGTCTATTTGGTAGTTGTCATTTTGTTCATGGTTAATTATTAGAGAGGTAGAGGCACAAAGAGATTAGACCACTCCTTAGAGGCTTTATGGATCCCATTTATTATTTTTTTCTGCTTACATGGAGGTTTTTGCTTTTGGTGACATGGATAGTCACTGTCCAACTGGGGGCTTTGGAAACAGACTCACTTCTTTGAGGGTACCTGAGATCCCAGATGGTTTAAGAAGATGACAATAAATCCCAGCACTTTGGGAGGCTGAGGCAGGCAGATCACGAGGTCAGGAGATCGAGACTATCCTGGCTAACAAAGTGAAACCCCATCTCTATTAAAAATACAAAAAAAAATTAGCCGGGCATACTGGTGGGTGCTTGTAGTCCCAGCTACTCTGGATGCTGAGGCAGGAGAATAGTGTGAACCTGGGAGGTGGAGCTTGCAGTGAGCCGAGATCGCACCACTACACTCTAGCCTGGGTGACAGAGTGAGACTCTATCTCAAAAAAAAAAAAAAAAAAAAGATGACGATAGTACCCAGCAGTCAGATTGATCTTTTAAAAACACATGATTACTTCTGCTTCGGGAAGATGTAATAGACATACTTTTCCCTAACCCTTTTGCAAAGTGCAACTAAAAACTCTGGACATTACATATAAAAGAAACATAAGAAGACTTTAAAAGGTAGAGAGAAGGCGGCAGACGACCTAGGGAGTTTGGGACTGGAGGAGCAGCACAGTTGTGGGTTCACTGGACTTCCTTTTCACCTCATCATCCCATACTTGACATTGAAGAAGCTGCAACTGAGGGCACAGATGGGGAAAAAAGCCACAACAAAAGCCTGCTGTATCTAGCCAAAGGACCACTAAAGGGATAGCCTAGAAGGCAGGAAACTTTTAGACAATAGCTGCTCTACTCCAGCCGAACAGCACAGAAAACCTGTGGACTCACCTTGCCAGCAAAAGTCAAGTGGGAAGGCTAGACTTCTACTCTTGCCAGGCTGCAACACGGCACCCCTGACACTGAGATGGTGTCATCGAAGGTCAAGTAGGGAGCCAGGATTTTTATCCCCACCAGCCAGTAAAGAGTATTGCCCCCACCCCCTGACACCCAGGTGTCAGTGGAGACCCCCTTCTCACCCAGCAATAATGAGGCATCCCTCCCACTCCCTGCTGGGGTGGTGTTAGAGGATGCCACTGGAGAGTCAGACTCTTACTACTGCCCAGTAGTCATGAGGCCACCCCACCACATGTCAGAGAAGACTACGTGGGAGCCAGAGCACTTACCTGCCCCCACCTACCCCCAATAACTAGACCCTAACTTGGGTGCCAACAGAGGCCAAGTAGGGGAACCTGGATTTCTACATACACCTGACAGTAATGAGGTGACAGCCACTCTTCCCCTGTCAGAGCAGTATCAGAGAAGGTCAGCTAAAGCAGAAGGTCTAAATAAGATCAAGAGCCTCAGAAAACATCCAGATTTCAATCAAAGAGCACCCATAATACCATGGACCAAGAAGATCTCCAAGTGAATGAATAAAAACATAAATCAATGCCAGCATCAAGATAGCA
The DNA here is from genome assembly GCF_000001405.40 of Homo sapiens. Taxonomy (NCBI): domain Eukaryota; kingdom Metazoa; phylum Chordata; class Mammalia; order Primates; family Hominidae; genus Homo; species Homo sapiens. The sequence continues at coordinate 107,625,295 of NC_000012.12, read as the reverse complement.
GGATGAAAAGACAAGCTACAGAGTGGGAGAAAATATTTGCAAACCACATATCTGACAAAGGACTAGTATCTACTATACATAAAGAACACTCAAAATTCAACAGTAGAAATGCAAACAATTCATTTAGAACACAGGCTTAAGATACAAAGAGACATTTCACTTGAAGAGAATACACAGATAGTGGACAAGCACTTGAAAATATATTCAACATCATTAGCCATTTAGGGAAATGCAAATTAAAACTACAATGAGATATCACTACATACCTATCAAAATGGCTAAAATGAAAAATAGTGACAACACCAAACAGTGAGGGTATGGAGCAACTGAATTACTCAGTCTTTTCCAGTGGGAATGTAAAAGGGTACAGTCACTCTGGGAAACAGTTTGGCAGTTTATTTAAAAACCAAACATGCAACTACCATACAACCAAGCAGTTGCACTCCCAGGCATTTACACCAGAGAAATGAAGATCTATTCACACAAAAACCTGTGCGTAAATGTTTGTAACAGCTTTATTTGTGATAGCCTAAAACTGGAAACAACTCCGATGTCCTTCAACAGTTGGGTGCTTAAACAAACTGGGGTACATCTATTCCATGGAATACTACTCAGCAATGAAAAGGAACAAGCTGCGGATACATGCAACAACCTGGATGATCTTCAGAGAATTATGATGACTGCCAAAAGTCCAATCTCCAAAATTACATACTGTATGATTCCATTTAAATCACGTTCTTTAAATGACAAAATTAGAGAAATGGTGGCTAGGTAGGGGCTGAAGGGTGGAGGCAGGAGGGAAGTGGGTGTGGTTATAAAAGGGCAACATGAGGAATCCTTGTGGTGATGGGAATTTTCTGCATGTTGACGATCATGTCACTATGTTGGTTGTGATATTTTACCATAGTTTTGCAAGATATTGCCGTTGGGAGAAACTGAGATCCCCCTGTGTAAATGGTACACAGGAATCTCTCTGTATTATTTTTTACAACTTCATGAATCTACAATTATCTCAAAATAAAAAGTTTAAAAACAGAAACATTTTAAGTTTTGAGTTTTTCATCAAAAAATGAAAACTTGAAAACTTAAAAAAAAAAAAACCCCACCGATCACACTTTGCCCCTATCTAAAACCTCTCTCGTTGTGTCCCATTCATTACACATAGAAGAAAAGCCAAACTTTCCCTGGCCCAGTGCAATCTAATTTTTATCTCCTACACTTTTTCCTTTGAGCACACAAAGCACGTTCCTACTAGGAGCCTAATCACCTGCAGTTCCCTGACATGGAATGCTTTTGCCCTAGATCTCTGCATGGCTGGAAGCTTTTCCTCACTTAGGTGGTTTTTCAAATGCCACTTTCTCAGGGAGAACTTCCTGACCGTTTCGTCTAAGTTAGACCTCATCAGCCCCACCCCCAGAGACCATACCATGGTCCCATTTCATTTTGTAAACACTGATCATGCTCTGACTCTGTTTCGTTTATTTATTTTCTTGCTTTTGGTCAGTAAGCTCCAGAAGGATAAAGAACATGTCTGTCCCATCACCACTGTAGTGCCTGGAACCAAGTGGGCACTCCTGATTATCTCTTGATTATGCCCAGGGGAATGATGTGTTAGAAAAATAAGCTAGAGGCCGGATGTGGTGGCTCATGCCTGTAATCCCAGCACTTTAGGAGGTCGAGGCAAGTAGATCACCTGAGGTCAGGAGTTCGAGACCAGCCTGGTCAAAATGGTAAAACTCTGTCTCTACCAAAAATATAAAAATTAGCCAGGCATGGCGGTGGGTGCCTGTAATCCCAGCTACTAGGGAGGCTGAGACATGAGAATCGCTTGAACCTGAGAGGCAGAGGTTACAGTAAGCTGAGATCACACCACTACACTCCAGCCTGGGCGACGGAGTGAGACTCCATCTCAAAAAAAAAAAAAAAAAAAAAAAAAAGGCCAGGCGTGGTGGCTCACACCTGTAATCCCAGCACTTTGAGAGGCTGAGGTGGGCAGATCACGAGGTCAAGAGATTGAGGCCATCCTGGCCAACACGGTGAAATCCTGCCTCTACTAAAAATACAAAAATTAGCAGGGCATGGTGGCGTGGGCCTATAGTCCCAGCTACTCAGGAGGCTGAGGCAGGAGAATTGCTTGAACCTGGGAGGCAGAGGTTGCAGTGAGCCGAGATTGCACCATTGCACTCCAGCCTGGGCAACAGAGCAAGACTCCATCTTAAAAAAAAAAAAAAAAAGACAAATAAGCTGGGAAGTCTTTTTAAACAGATGTATTCAAAAAAATGAATATATTGTTCTGCTCCTGGGGAAGTCTAGAGACACTGAATTCATTTGAAGTCCAAATTTAGAAACAAGAACATAGAAGCAGATGTGTGGTCGGATTTCAAGTATGGTTTGAGTGAGCACAAACCAATAATGGTGGGACGAATATGCCTCATTTTACAGGACAGCTGTTTCTATAAGTTGAACATAAAGTGGATTTATTTGCAAGAATCTATTCACTACTCTGATAAAACAAGATATTTGGCCAGGAGCAGTGGCTCACACCTGTAATCCCAGCACCTGGGGAGGCTGAGGTGGGAGGATTGCTTGAGGTCAGGAGTTCGAGATCACCCTGGCCAACATGGTGAAACCTTGTTTCTACTAAATATTAGCCAGGCATGGTGGTGCATGCCTGCAATCCCAGCCACTTGGGAGGCTGAGACACGAGAATGGCTTGAACCTGTGAGGCAGAGGTTGCAGTGAGCCAAGATCATGCTACTGCACTCCAGTCTGGGCGACAGAGCGAGACCTTGTTTTAAAAAAGAAAAAAAAAAGATACTTGTTTGGACAAACATTTGAACAGGAATCCTAAAGTGCAGGGAGAAGGAACAATGCTGGCCAGCTCTGTGATGATGGCTGCCCTATTGTCCGACAGGAGACTGTCTTCTCAACTTGGAATTTCTCTGTCATCATCTCCCTCCAGTTTTTCTTTTGACCACAAGAATATCCCCCATGCTTGGGGAATGGGTGACTTCACCCTGCAGGCTCGGGGAAATTATCTCCTTTTTTAACCTCCACCTACCCGCTCCCACCCCCGGCCAGTGGTCAGTGCATGTGATGTGTAAAGCCACATTTCACCAGTAGGGGATGCCATTGAACCCCCTGTAAAAGCAAAACACACTTCACTGGCTCCCTGCTCTTGAGACACGACCACGCCCAGCTATTTTTTTGTATTTCTTGTAGAGGTGGAGTTTCATCATGTTGCCCAGGCTAATCTCGAACTCCTGGGCTCAAGCAATCCTCCCACCTCGGCCTCCCAAAGTGCTGGGATTACAGGCATGAGCCACCATACCCAGTCAGCCTGATTTTCAAATGACTGACTATTAAACGATGGGAGCACCCACCACTTCTGTGAATGGAGGGTATTTTGTATGCTTCAGCCTGTAGATTCTTATAATCATGGGCTCAGGTTCTGAGAACTATTTCCTATCTAATGAGCTGTCCAAGTCAAACATTGTGGCTCCAGGCAAAACAAAGTGTGGTGTTAGATGTCGGGAGAGTGGCGGCCCTTTGGAGGATAGCAGTGGAGTAGGGTGTAAGGGGACCACTTGGGTGCTAGTCGTGTTCCATTTCTCAGTCTGGATGAGGATTGCACAGTTTGTCTATCTTATGAAAATCCATTTGGCATCGTAGTTATGAGCTGGGCACTTTTCTGTACGTATGTCATACCTCAAAGTAAAGTTTACTTTAAGAACGCACAGGTTAGTTTTACTTAATACACAGAATGTCTCAATAAATTCTGGAATTCCCAGTATAGGCTGAAGAAAAGTTAAAAACAACAAACAAACAAAACCTCAAAACGATAGAACCCAGACCCTGGGAATGTTTCTCACTAAGACAGTTTCTTAGGTGATTTCAGGTGAAAGTCTCTTTATTCAGCTACTTATTTTTAAGTCAGGTGGGGAGTTTGGTTTTGAAATGCTTCCAGCAGGTTTTACTCCTCACGGACTCACCGAAGCTTGTTACCCTAGGCCTGGTGCACCTGCTCCCATTTGGGGTCCTGGTGGGTCTTGACCTCAAGCACAAATCTAGCCTGCAGGTGGCCCAGGGACACCGGGCTAAGGATGGGCGCTAATGAGAACACCTAATGGGACTCGCTTTCCACCCGAGGCCCAGAGCTCTGAAAGCAGAGATGCTGTGTTGCTGCCTCCTTACTGAAGGGCCATCCCTGCTGTGTGGAGGAAGCAGCCCCATGTCCCCTCTAATGCCCCATGGACAGTCACACAGCCCAGCCCGGCAGGGGGACCCACACTGCCCTTTGGTTCAGAGGCCAATTTCCCCTGAGACTTCCCAGGCTCCGTAGTAGACCCCAGAGTTCCACAAAGGCTGTTCTGGGGCAAAGAGGTGAGAGGGCTGGTGCTGGGGCCCTGCAGGGACTGGAGTGTCTAGAGAGCATCACCAAAAAACCCCAAAGATATTTTTAAGAATTAATGTTGTAATAGTCGAAAGGCTGGCCTGCTGTTATGAAGAGGCTGCATTTCTCTGTTGCTGGGGATACAGGTGTCAGCACGGGTGAATCCCAAGGGGTCAGAGCTAGGTTCATTTGACCCTCTCGACCGGAAAAGCCTTCTCCCAGGGCCTGGCTTTTCAGAAACCTCAGCAGGGTCTGTGTTCTGTTTATCCAGAAAGCTGCAACCATTTCCCTCATCCTACCGATTCCTATCGTCCATCCCCGCGTGGTCTAGTCACAGCACCTCAGGGTACCCACCCTCCCATTCCTCCTTCCTGAACTCCCACACCTCTCCTAGCCTGCACCCCCAAATTTAATACTGTTGTACCAACTGTTTCATAATGCTGTTGGGGCACACATGTTGGTATCATCTCTCCAGCTCTTCTGCAAGTTCCTTGAGTTAGAAGATATCTAAGCAGTCCATGTGCCCAAGTGCCTTAGCTCATGTGGATGCTCAGCAAGACAGCTGCCCACAAATGAGTGCACAGGTAGCTTTCGTCTGCTGGGCTACATTCGCCACTGGTCGCTATGACCGTAGTGATCCCACTCAAAGGGGAACAGCAGGCTAAAAGACCGTTCAGATCTGGGAACCTCCAGCTTTGTTCTCTGCCGATGACCACAACAACCTCAAACCCCACATACCTTGCTCGCTTTCAGGATCTCAAACATCAGGGGCAGGCCTTGGGTAACGAGCTCCTCCGTGTATTCCTCCTCCTGAATGGTCTTAAACTCCTTTAACAAGCACTGGATGAGAGGCCTGCGGTGCTGCTGGAAGGCGATCCGCAAAGACTCCAGCCACGTGTGCAGAGTCCACGGGACGCCTGGAGCGGGGAGAGGAGCCAGGGAAGGTGGCAGGGGAGGGGGAGAGAGAGGGGAAAGGTGGAAAACAACCAGAGGAGCAGGCGAGTTTTTATCTGGAAGTTGGCTTTTCCCCAGGACATTACTAAATGACGAGACCAAGGGATTGACTTTCAACGAACAGAACCAGTGTAGGCTTTTCCCCAAGACCTGCAAAAGTTGAAATTAAAGGTCATAATTCAATTCCCTCAGCTATGGGTGTCCATCTCTGTATGCTGCTCATATTATTAGAGGCTGCATTTCACAAGATGTAATCATCGTGTAGCATATTGGAATTATTACGCACGCTACTTATGCATATTCCATACTTCGGGATTCTGAGTGCATAGGCTCCATCCCCTCTACTTACTGGGGAAAGAAGCTCAGGGGGGAGAAGAGTCTTGCCCAGGATTAAAGAGTGGATGTGCCCAAGGATCTGGAACACATCCGTGCCCAGATGAGAGCTTAGAGTTGGTGAAACCCATTGGTGGACTTCACCATTTACAGCTCTGGCTAAGACAGATATTTATACCCGAATAAGAAGACATGGGAGGATATTCCTGCTGCTCCTCTGTGCAAAACAACATTTCCATCTGCAGGTACTTCATCAGGTCTTCCTCCTTTAACAGGGACCTCTTCAGCAGCTGACTGCTGTAATTTGCCTCTCGCCTCTCATGCAGAGGCACAGACAGAGGAGGACGTGTCTTGCTACTGTTTATAACAAGTAGCCCATTCGGAATCTCGAGCTTCATCATCATGCAAAATAGGCTCCCAGGGCAATGGCACAAACGTTCCACAGACTAACCCCTCCCCACCTTCCCTGGAGAGAGGTCATTTCCAGAACAGCATTAGGAGGCTTCTCCTCAGTCCTCAGCCTGCCTTAATCTGCCACACCCTGTGTTTAGGGACCCATGGCTAGGTCTGGCCACTTCCATGGCAGAGCGAAAGCCACTACGCTGGTGAAGGCTAGGCTAGCCTTGTTCCCCAGACACATGGAGGAGATGGCTCTGGGCTAGCTTACCCAAGGAAGAGCCAGCCCAACCTTCCTGAGAGTGGCTTTGCCCTCTGAAGCTCAACAGGAGTTGTGGTAAGAAAGGGGCGCCCTCACCCTAACAACTGCCCAGCACTGCTTCGTGGAGTTGGGTGCTCTAAAGGCAGTGATTCCTCAACCACTGGGAACCACCTGGGATGATTGTTAAATATAAAGATTTCCAGCCTTTATCCATCCAGACCCTCGACAGCAGAGCCTCTGGGTGTAGGGCCTGGCAACTGGTATTCAGACAAGCTCCCCAGGTGATTTGAATTCCTGCCCCAGGGTTCAGTGTTTGGGAATCATGGAAAGATGGTCTGAGGATGGGTCTTTGGGGCAGGCAGGATGCTGCTATCTATGGGCACGGAGTGGGCATCTTGGCCTGGAAGTGTTTCAACTGGTAAAGGGGAAGCTCCCTGGGTCCCCTTGTGTGTGTGTGCACGTGTGTGTGCATGTGCGTGTTTTGCATGTGTATGTGTGCGCGCATGTGCGTGTTCATGTGTGTGTGGACCTAAAGCTGGGGGCACCATGGTGCCCGTGGTGGAGGGTGCCCAGACTGACCTATGCTCCTGATATCAATTGTGACATCCACGTAGCCATGCTCAGCGCTGTGATACATGGCCTCCCTCAGGGCCCTCAGTTTGGCCTTGCTGTTGCGGCTGGCGCACAAGGGGGGCGGGGCTGTCTCCGCCAGGTCAGTCCCCTCGGCCAGAATCTCCTCCAGGGACAGGATATCACTCTTCTCCTTCTCTGGCTGGGCGAGCAGTTTGCGGAACACATTCCTGTCAATCATAAACCCAGAGAGGATGACACTCAGAGATGGAAGTGGATCTGCTGGGGCAGGGCAGGGGCAGGCTGGGGAAGCAGGGGACCACTAGCTTGGGAGGGGTGATGACAAGATCAATGGGTGGCACTTTCAGAGGCCTAACAGTGGGTGCCACATTTTGGGGATGGAGGAGATGATGGGGCATGACTGGCCTTGTTTCCTTGAGGCAACTTGGAGCTAAGTGATTTCCTCAAAAATCTAGAAGGCTCTAGAACTCTGCACTTGTCACCGTCAGCCTGCCCTCTCTCCAAAGTGAATGTGCTCTGCTTGGGGTTATGTGTAATAAAAGCTGATGATCAGAGGGGAAATTCAGAAGGAGATGTAGAAGGGAAGTCACCAAATATGAAAGGTTTTATTATTTTTTAAATGGATTTTTCTTACTTCATGACAGCTGACATGACGTGCCCTGAGCAAAACCGACCAAGAGTGATGTCTCTCTGTGAGTTTAAAGCTGGCCAGGAGCAGGTAAAATAAAGCATTCTGAGTGGATGTGCACTGCATGGAGTTGGCTGTCAGCTGGCAGGTAGGGTCGCTCTGGCCAGACCTGGGGCCTGGACCACTTCACACTGCCTCTGGGCCCCACATCCAGAGAGACAATGGGTCTGGGGTAGGCCTGGGAATCTGCATTTTTAACAAACACCACTCGGGACCTCTGGCTTTGGCCCATCCTAGCCTACCTGTGTCCGTGGGCTGCAGCCTGGCTGAAAGAGTTCATATCACCCTGGGGGGTTGTAGAAATTCCATTCCTGTACATGGTTCCTATCAGGGGATCGGCACCACGCTCCAACAGCAAACTAACCAGCTCAAAATTTCCTGCAAGCCCAGAGAAGGGGGTTTTATAAGAGAATAAAGCAAAAATATAGTCACAGGCACTTCAAGGGCCAGGGTGCACTGGAGCTCCCTGGCCAGGGTGAGAACCAGCAGCTCTTACCTACAGCAGCTGCCAGCTGGAGGGGTGTTTCCGAGTAGTTCTCCTCGCCATGCTCCACTGAGCCTTCCACCTTGGCCCCAGCATCCAGGAGGAGCTGCAGAGGAAGAGCGGCCATTGAGACGGTGAGAGGAGATACACTGTGCACAGGTGTCAGGAAAGACTGCTGGGATGGGTGAGATGCCAGCACTCCTTCCCTCCCTCTAGGTTGGTGACAGCGTGCACAGGCTGGAGGGCAACTGTACCCTGGAGGATGAACTGAGAGTCTCTCATTGCTGCTAGGCTACTCGGAATGTGTTCCATGCATAACAGCATCAGCACCACCTGGGAGCTTGTGGGAAATGGTGACTCTCAGGCCCCACCCAGGTCTACTGAATGAGAGTCTGCATTTTAACAAGATCTCCAGGAGATGTATACATATATAAACATTTCTAGAAGCACTGGGCTAAAGGTTCTTGGCACAGGAATGCTGGAAGACTCCCCTCCTGGGCTGGTTACACAAAGCCTCAGAGGGCACTAGGGTAGCCTCGTAGAACCACAGACTCTCAAGAGTTCTGAAGGACTTTGGGGGTCTCCCGGGGCCCCACCTGGATGGCCCTGAGGACAGTTTAGCAAATGCTAAGGTTTCTGGACAGCAAGATCAGTTAATAAAGTGGCAGAGTGAGCTTCCAGAAGTTTTGCTTCATAAGACTTCATTCTGTGCATCCCCTGAGATAGCTGGGCTTCCTAAAGAGGTAGGGATGCTGTCCATGCCTGGTCTCATTCACAGTGAATGTGCTGTCAGCACTGCTGATGGAAAATGGGGGAAAAATCTGCTATCTTTACTGCCTACCTAGGGCTCCCTGAGGGCACGGCCATGGGGGAGCCACCTACTTGGCACTCCGTGATCGCTGGCCCTGCGGCAGGGTGGTTGCCTGACTTCTGTGTGGCTTTGCTTGGCTGCTTACTGTTCCCATTCCTGATTTAAAGGTCGGGAATGTCCTTGCATGTTAAGGAATGACATCTGTGTCCACCAGACCACCAACCGACCCCTTCTTTCTTAGTTTCCTCTACCAGGAGTGGACTGGGCATACTGTTCTATAGGCAGAAGCCAGCTCTCAGTGTGACATGTCACACTGTGAGCCTCCTGAAACATGACTTGGGATCTGTTCTAAGGATTCTCATGACCCAGGAAACAACAAAGGATTCCCATGAAATTCCAGCATTGCAGAGCTGTCCCTGCTCTGCATGGAATCAAGAGGCATGGACCACACAAAAGGAGGTGAGTTCCTGATGTGCCCAACCTCAGCACTCACTACAGGACCAGGTGCAGTCATGAACTTGGATGCTGATCTCTCTTTTCTGATGAAGTAAAGATCAAGCTTATGATTTAGAATGTACCGTATGGCTGTTCACTGAACACCAACTCTACAACAGCCAGAAAAAGTACAAGCAATACATATTTATATGCCCAAAGGACCTCCAATGAGGACATGTCACTGTGCTTGGAGCTGTTTCAGAAGACACATGGCCAAGGCCCTACTCTAGACCTCCTGGACCTGATTCTCAAGAAGTGGGATCCAAGCAAGTGTCTTTTGGAAACACTCCCTTGATGTCTTGGATGCTTCTTCCCACTGGCTGGAAACCAATGGATTCTACACAAACACCAGGGGTCACACCTAAGGGAAGGTTCTAAGGTATCAATAGCAACCAAATCTCATGTTCATGTTGCGACAAGCAAAATGAACAAATCCACAAAAATAGCTGAAGCCCCACCCCAGAGCAACCAGGAAGAACTTCATGGGTCTGTCACTCTGTGTGTGAGGCTGTGTGTGGATATGTGATCATTTCATATTGGTTAAAGCCTGGCCATATAGATCATTACATATAATATTTGTATTCACATGATATGAATATACTATATTGAATTGCAGTTAACCAATATGAATGTCTTAGAGAATATGCATGCTGGGAGAGGTATAGATGTGTGTTATGGAAGAGGTAAAATCAAAAGTCAGATGTGGATAGGGAAATACGTTAATACCTGAACTACAGGAATATGTCCATGCAACACAGCAAAAGTCAGAGCCGTCCAATGGCGGGTCTCGGGGTGGACGGATGGATATTTATGAGGAGTACTGACAACCTATAAACAAATTGAAGTTATTTTCAAAATGTGACCTTCACAATACTTAGGCTAGCAAATTTGACGTATCTGTGGCTGGGCACATGGGCTAGAGATGGACAAAAAGACATCCTGGAAGATGCCTCGGGAAGAGCTGGTGATACAGGGCAGGGATTTTCCACTGCTGGATGCTCCAAACACCTCTCACCAAAGCCGTGGATCTGTCCTGCTTGTGTTTGTAAGAACAGAGACCAAAGCAATCCCCCAAAGGCAGGACAATGGAAGTCCGTGTTTTGGAGATTTTACCCTTGAAGGCAGTGAGAAAATGTCTCAGTGACTTTATGTCCTTTGTGCATAAGAAGGACTCCTTCACTTCTCCTCTGAAAGGAAGTAATGGATGATTCTGATCGCCTCTCAGGTGCTTTGAAGAAGCTGTAATGGCAGTTACAATGAGCTAGCTTTCTGGCCTGTCCCCTTCTTCCTTCTACCTAGCAGAGGGTGGTGGTTCTGGGAGCTACAGGATGTCAGAGAGCATGAGATGCCACTACCATGCCATCCACACTTTTAAGAGAGATTCTCAGTGGTGGCAAACCCCAGGCAAGGGACTGTCTGCTTTCAGCTTTCAAGCCAGGGAAGTCCATCACTCATCTGATGGAGGAATTTCACCATCTGATCACAGCTGGCCCCACCCTGTTCTCATTTCACTCTTCTGCTGGCTTCCTGGTTGACAAGGACCCTCTTGCACTACCGAAATATGGGCACAAAGCTTTCCCAGGACGCATCATGAATGAACAATCTGAGATTGGTCTTTCAGGATGGAGGCCTAAAAACACTCCAGGCCAAGAGAGAAGAGACAGGGCAGCTGAAGGCCAGGGTCTTGCAAGATCAGCACCCACATGGAGCTTTTCTCCCAAACACTCCTGGGGTCATGTAACCTCAATGCCTGCTTCACTCAGAGCAGTTTGGTTCACTAAGCATCCACTGGAGGAAGGCCTGAGCTGAGATCCGTGGGATGGGCTAGAGAGGACCCGAGAATGCTCCAGAACCCAATGCTGAGGACCCCTTGCGTGGGTCTGCATGGTGCTTAAGGATTCATAGCAGGAGGGAAAATCCCCACAGATTCCAAATTTATAGGATCCAAAATGATTCTGGATCCAAAACTGTGTCTATTGTCTGCTTTCCTCAGATAAATATAAAACTCACATTAAAAAAACACACACACACAGTACTGAGACTGCACGGGCATCTAATTTTGAACTGAAAAGGTTTCCCAGGGTTGCCGAGTTATGATTTCAGCCCGTCAATCTCTTTGCTGTCTGATACTGCCAATATCCTGCCGCCAGGGAGAGCAGGTCTTCAGGCAGCATAGAACATGGTAAAAAAGTGATATTTCACCTATGACGAGGTTGGGGTGTGGGTGGAGGGACCAATATTAACTGAGTTCCAAACCTACTCTCTATATCCCTTCTGACAACTATATGAGATGGGTGCAATTATTTTCCCGTTCTGCAGATTGGGAGAGAAAAAAGGTTAAGGCACTTGCCCAAGCACAAAAGCAAGTCACCATGGCAGCGGTGGTATCAGAACTTGAACCCAAATCTGTCAGATTCTAAGGCCAATGTTGCAAGGGGGAGGGGAGGGTTTCTGGGGGGACATGCTTTCCACCAGACCACATTGTCTCAGGGAAGCTCTGAGATTAGCTTTAAGATCTGTCAACTCAGGCAACAAGGTGAGCCAAAGAGGGTTTGGAGGGGGAGCGTGGAGGATCTGCGGGAGGAAGACTTCAGCTTAGGGATTGAGCCAGTGCCTCCTTTGCTGTGTGTTAAGTGGAAAGAGAGGGCTGATGGCTCAGGAGTGCTCCTTCTGCCCCATCCTAGAAGAAATTGATCAGCCGTGGGAATCAGGAACTCTGGAAATCAGGACTGCCGAGCCAAGGAAAAGCCAGTGCTCCTTGCAGCTATGTTGGTTGTTTTTAAACATAACATACATGCAGGCAGCTCCTTGGGGTTTGGTTGGGCTGGGGGCCTCAGGATGGACAAAATCTGTCAGGTGGTCTCACCAGGGCCACAGCAACTAAAAGGACACAGGAAAGAGCTATCTGTTGCACTGTGCACCCTCAGTGGCAGCTCTTGGGAGAAAAAGCCCCCCTTTCTTGCTCGCTTTCCCCTGGGGACTGCCGGCCGAGGGGCCCTGCTGGCCTCTGCACCCTCACCTCCACATTCAGGTCAGCTCCGGCATCCAGCAGCATCTGAACCATCGCCTCGTCCCCACGGACGCAGGCATACATCAGGGGAGTCATGCCCTGTGGTGAGTTAAAAACCAGAGAACGGAAAACGTTTACAAGGTGGCTGTGGTCAATCGACAATAACAAATGGAGAATCTTACTTGTGTTTCGGAGGCCATGCTTGTGCTCCGGCATGACAAAAATAAACGTGCAGCCCTGTGACTCGTAAGGTCACAACCCTCCACATGTGGAAACCAAAATAGAGGCGACGAAGGAGCCTCCTCGGCCTTTTCAGCATTTATCTTTCCTTGCCTTGGAGGATTTTCGTTCGTTTGTCTGTCTTAGGGTGCAACAGACCTAAGGGTGTTTGCTAAACACTTAAAGCTCTTAGGAACTTTCTAGATTGATTCTGCAATATCAGCCCTAAGCTATCTCATTGGTAAACACCATTTATCTGACATTTTCTCTTTCACAATATAACAGTGTCATCTTTGCTCTATAAAAGCTGCTGGTCAGCATCAAGGAAATTGAATGCTTCTGAGCATGTGGCGTTGCCCATCATTGACATCTGGTTTGACATGGTCATTTGCAAGCAAAAGGCAAGCAAATGAGGAACGGCCTTCAGGAATACCAGATGCACCAATGACTCTTGCTTCTATAAACGAAGCATCTCAACCAACAGAAGGAAAGGATGGATTTTCAATAACCAGTGTCACAAAGTCGGTTATTTGGGAAAACATCCAAATTAGAGACTTTTCTCACACCACACATCAAAATCATTTCTAGTTTGATTAGAGATATACAGGAAAAATTAAAACCATAAAAGATATCTAACTGGTTTGTGAATCTATTTCTAGGCATAAAAGGAATGGAAGAAATCACAAATGAAAAACATTACAGCCTTGGGGACATATAATTGAAAACATTATAAGCAAAATCAAAAGGTAAACAATGAATTGAGGCATATTTATCACATTATAACAAAGGATTATGTGCCTAATATGTAAACAGCACTCCTGAATAAAGAAGAAAAACAGTAAAGCTCTAATGGAAAACAGGCAAAAGATAAGCAGAAGAGTAATAGTAAACACACATATAGCTGGAGGGTGTGTAAAAGGAAACAAAAGTTCTGGGAAAGTAATTTAAGATTGAGAACCTTAAGAAAAGCTGGTGTGTTTGAGCCACTATTTGCATTTTAAAAATTTCCCTAATGA